>NC_000002.12:116883557-117186587 GCF_000001405.40 Homo sapiens | reverse complement strand
AACTTTCAATTCAGTGGAATTGCTGTGTCCCTTGGTGGTACTCTGTCTTCCTAGAGAACAAAGACCTCCAAATCAACAAAGCTTAATATTCTAAGAGCAAGAAGCAAAATTTTCATAAATTAGACAGTATAATAGTGAAAGGAGGCACTTCTGTCATTGCCATTTGATTTCTTGACCCATGTATTCTGACTATAGAACAAATACTATCTACTGGTTTTTGATTCACACATACTTTTTCATCCTGTATAATGAGCTCCCTCTTTTTGTTTCCCTACTGGCATTGTAACTAAGTCTTTAGTAGGCCATTCTATAGTTTTATCAAGTGTTGGAACAGTAGAATCTATGAAATGCAGTAGCATCATAATTAATGAAATTAATCCCGATCAGATGTATGGTTAATTGTAATGAAATGCCTGCTAAAGTCAGTGTCTTGGAGGACAAGTGCATGATTTATGTTGATATGAATTGGAAAACATGCAATTCTTCTTTTTTGTTGTTGTTGTTTTTTGTTTTTGTTTAGACTGAGTCTCACTCTGTCACCCAGGCTGGAGTGCAGTGGCAAGATCTCGGCTCACTGCAACCTCCGCCTCCCGGGTTCAGGCGATTCTCCTGTCTAAGCCCACCAAGTAGCTGGTATTATAGGTGCTTGCCACCACCCTCGGCTAATTTTAGTATTTTTAGTAGAGACAGGGTTTCACCATGTTGGCCATTCTAGTCTCGAACTCCTGACTTCAGGTGATCTGCCTGCCTCGGCCTCACAAAGTGCTGGGATAACAGGCGTTAGCCACCGTGCCAGGCCCTGCAATTCTTTTAATAATGGCATTTGGACATTATTTCAAGGACCACAAGATCTGTGAGGTGGAATGCTTGTAACTGACTGCACTGGGGTGCTTACAAAAAAAGAATGACTAACAGGGTTTTTAAAAAATTCATATCAATATACAGAGAATCAAAGAGCTTTTATAGTATCCTTATAGAATATCTTATAGCTAAAGGGTCAGCCTCAAAAAAATGAGCATAAATGTTAATTGTGTAGGCTGCAGAATTATAGTGTAAGTTAATTCTTAGCTTTTCAACATCACTCAAGTAAAACAGAAGAGTATGAATTAGGTAGAAGCTAGGATCCTGAGACTAGGAGTGAATGAAGCAGAGAATCTTCAACCCTCAAATTACGTGAGCATCCTTTGTCAGTGGAAGCAGTCTGCCTTTTTGTATTGGAAGGTGCTTTTCTTTCCTAGCTTGCGGTCCCTGTAGCAAACTTCTATTGGCAATTGCATTCAAGGGGTACTTATTTTTCTTTTCTTTTTCTTTTTTTAAATTTTTTTTTCTTTTATTATTATACTTGAAGTTTTAGGGTACATGTGCACATTGTGCAGGTTAGTTACATATGTATACATGTGCCATGCTGGTGCACTGCACCCACTAACTCGTCATCTAGCATTAGGTATATCTCCCAATGCTATCCCTCCCCCCTCCCCCCACCCCACAACAGTCCCCAGAGTGTGATGTTCCCCTTCCTGTGTCCATGTGATCTCATTGTTCTGAGGACACTTCAACTACCCTTAGTTGACACATTCATAACTAGATCATATTTTAGCCTGAACCTAGAGGAAAAGTTCAAAATCTGACTAAGATGCTGGGCACAGTGGCTCACGCCTGTAATGCCAGCACTTTGGGAGGCCGAGGTGGGTGATCACCTGAGGTTAGGAGTTCAAGACCAGCCCAGTGAAACCCCATCTCTACTAAAAATACAAAAATTAGCCAAGTGTGGTGGCATGCACCTGTAGTCCTAGCTACTCAGAAGGCTGAAGCAGGAGAATCACTTGAACCCGGAAGGCAGAGGTTGCAGTGAACCAAGATCATGCCACTGCACTCCAGCCCGGGAAACAGAGCAAGACTCCATCTGAAAAAAAAAAGAAAAAAGAGAAAAAGAAAAAAGAAAGAAAATCTAAGAAAAAATCATTTATACTCTAAAATAATGGCCAGAGTTTTCCAATTTGTATCAACATAAATCTGGAAATATATGTGTAAATGGCATCAAAGAGAGTTAGAGAAAGGAGACAATACAATGTCTCTGCTGAATATATTCATGAGTGTATTTAACAGATTTTTCATTTAATGTGTAACTTATGCAGCTGGAAGAGCTTAATAGTCTGTCAATAGCTGACTAAAACTTGGATTCAATAGTGGCCTACACTTAATGAGCCTGAAATCCCAGAACTTTCCAGCAATTTAGTAAGGAAAGAGATCTAAAGGCTTAAGGGATAGACAGTTTTGAGATTTATCAGCTTTCATACCCACTTCCTGAGAGAGTTCAGAGGCACCCCCTTCACTAAGGCTACAGCAATACTTTAGTGAGAGGAGCACATTTTCTTGAAAGGCCTCGCCACCTTTTCTGGTAGACCAGTTTCCTTATAGACCAGCTGTGACTGTTGGAAATGCTGCTATGAAATGGACTTGCTGATGTCAAAGGGGAAAATCTGATCGCAAGCCAGCAGAAGCCAAGTGGCAGCACTCGGTTTCCAGAGGCAAGTGGGCATATTCACCCTAATGAACAGCAGAGGAAGGGGTGTACTCAGAAGGTTCTGACCCTCAGAAGTCCTCAGCAATGATGGATGGATCACAATGCCCCTAGGAATGAAAGCTGAGTAGCTTTCAAGGAAAATATCTCGGTCTGGTGGTCAGAATTCTGACTTGAATTCCCACGGGGAAGAACCTTGGCCTTCCGGTCTGTGTCCATTTCTTTGCCAATTCACAGAGCCATGGTGGCCTTTTGTGCCTCCCACAAGATGGCCAGAAGCCATTTTTAAAACCACATTTCCTGACATGGCCCTTCAGAGTCCCATGCTCCAGTTATACTCATCCCACGTCCACTGAAGATGCTGCCATGGTTTTACTTCTTCCTTTGATGTAGCAATCAAATCTTTTGAAAGAAATGCTTTCTTAAATTCTCCACATCCTTTGTGACAGCAAAAATCTGTTATGTTTTTAAAGCACCTACTGATCACTTCAACTTAGAGAGATCTGTCTGCCCTCTGGGTTGGCACTTTAAGATCTTACACTTTTCCTCATTCTCTCTCCAACTAGAGTTCAAGCTTTTCGGGGCCAGGACCTTGGCTAATACTACTTGGTATTCCCCACAGCATTTAGCAGGGTGTCCTTCATCACACTTAACACAGTGTTCAATGTTTCTTGTGACTGTTTGGGGAAATAATTGTTTTAAAACTCACTGAGCCACAGTTCAATAAAATTATGAACAGTTTTCTGTTTCTTCTGTCTCTGCACTCATAGCATAGTGCATGCATCTTGATCCTTGATTCCAGCGTTTATCACATACCCTTTGTCTGTTTTCCTCCAAACAGAGTGTGAACTTTTCAACAGTAAGATTTTGTTTTTCTGGTGCTAATGAAAGCAGACTTTCTGGTTCAGCATTGCTTAATGAGTTAATCTGCACTTAATTCAAGTCAAGCTAAACTAGCAAATATGCCAGTCCATGTGACAGCAATTTTATCTTTCACATATGTTATTTAACATAAATGATTGAACAAATACTTTTGTCTCACTACCAAGCACACTATTTCACATTAAGCAATGTGAAAATTACAGCAAGCTCAAAAAACTACAAGATATTATCCTTCTTTCTGCAACTAAGCTCAAACTTGATTATGCCTAGATAATCATGATCATGTTTGAAATTTTGAAATAGTATATTGCACTAAGTTATGCAATATTAAACTGAGACAATGTCTTAAAATATTGTTATTACTATATTAAAATTACAAAAAGGATTCAGAGCCCCTTGGTTTTGAAGCGATATTAGTAAATAACAGCATGAACTCCACAGTCAGAATACCTAGGTTCAGACCTCTGCTCAGACACTTACTAACTGAAAAGCCTTGGCTAGTTTATTTTATCTATCTCTAAACATTAGTTTTCTCATCTATAAAATGGGACTACAGCTAGCACCTGTTGCCTGAAGTTGCTGCAGACATTGGTTGTGGTATTCTCTTATTGTTACAGTTATATTAATGACATATAATTTGTATAACTATAGATATAAAACTTTATAACTGTAGTTATATAAATTTATATATAACTAGTCATATAAATTATATAAAACTAAGTTGGGCTTATTTATGTAACTGTAGTTGTATAAATAACTTAGGTAATAAATTTACCTAAGTAAATTTATATAATTATTATTTTAACCTTATCAATTATTAAATAATTGATAAGATTATCAAAGTAATTATTAAATCAATTATTATTTTAATCTCATCATTAAAAACAGTAGTTAACATTTATTTAGTGATTATTATGTCACAGAATCTATAACTTCCCGCAACTCTGTATATAGAGAGTTATATCAATAAACCCAACCTAAGTTTATATAAATTGACCTGTTAACCTAAGTTATTTATATAAACATAAGTTGGGTTTGTTGATATAACTCTCTATATACAGAGTTATGGGATGTTATTATAGATTCTGTGACATAGTAATCACTAAATAAATGGTAACTACTCCTTTTTATTGATAAGATTAAAATAATAAGTAATTTAGAGGAGAATACATTTTAGAATACAGTGGTGCTTCCCGTGGAGAAAGTGAAAATTTAATCTTGTTAATTGAGGAGAAGGAATTTTGTTAGTAGAAAAATTAAGGTATATATCTTAATTTATATATATGTATATATATAAATTATATTTATATGTATATATTATATATACACTCATATACACATGTGTATATATACATATAACTTGAAGTGGAAATATTTAGACATGAGTGAGTAAACTAATCATGTATATCAAGAGTTTTTTTTTTTTTAAGATAACTGATAAAAAGATACATTGGGTCTTTTAAAGAGGTTTTTAAGGACTTTGGATTTGACTGTATAGCTAGTAGGGGCATAGTGAAGCTATTTGGGTCAAGAACAGAGATATGAAAATAATCCTTTTATATAGCAACAATTTCAGGAACCGTGTGTAAGACTTAATGAAGACCAGCACAATAAACCAGGTGTAAGAAGATGACTTTAATCAGTGATTCAAAACTGAAAGACCAAGAGTTCAGAGAACAGGTTCACTATTTAGAATAGTGTTTGGGCCAGGCGCAGTGGCTCACGCCTGTAATCCCAGCACTTTGGGAGGCCGAGGCGGGCGGATCACGAGGTCAGGAGATCAAGACCATCCTGGCTAACACGGTGAAACCCCGTCTCTACTAAAAATACAAAAAATTAGCCAGGCGTGGTGGCGGGGGCCTGTAGTCCCAGCTACTCGGGAGACTGAGGCAGGAGAATGGCGTGAACCCGGGAGGTGGAGCCTGCAGTGAGCCGAGATCGCGCCACTGCACTCCAGCCTGGGCGACAGAGCCAGACTCCATCTCAAAAAAAAAAAAAAAAAAAAAAAGGTGACTGTTTGAAGAAATATGAAAATAATGTAGATGCAACAACTGTGGGGACACCTTACAAAGGTGGCAATTTCTACCACACCGATGTCTCAGTCTTTGGAGAACCCACCAGGTTTGAGTATTTGCAAAAAGTGCTTTTTGAGTATATGATAGATCGTGAGACTAAGACCATAGCAAAGGTTATAACCACTATACTGAAGTTCCCTGATGATCAGACTCAGAAAATTTTGTAAAAAGAAGATGCTCAGCTAATGTTTACTTCACCTCGTAGTGGTATCTTCTAAGTCAACCATCAGCCTGTGCTTCATTAGCATGTGTCATGGCTCCGATCTTCATCTTAAAGAAGAGTGACATTGGATGACTGCTGCTGGGAAAATGGTCCACACTTGCTACTCTTTGAGAATGAAGTTGTCATTTAGGGCCCCTCGTGTTGCCAAAAGACCAAGAAAAATCTGGCCCACAGATATGTTGCAGACTCCTTTTAAAATAGATTTCATCAGTGGAGAAATGGTGATAGTTTTTTTCTTCAGTTTTCTGTTTAGAAGAATTTTATGTTGTTTAAAAGATATTTTGAATGCCTTAACCTTCTTTATAGGCTTACATAATATTCTTTTCTTCCATTCTTTCTAAAAAACTGCTTACCTTTCCTATTTATTTTAGGGTAATTTTTTTTTTTTTTTTTGAGACTGAGTCTCAGTCTGTTGCACAGGCTGGAGTGCAGTGGCACAATCTCAGCTCACTGTAACCTCCGCCTCCTGGGTTCAAGTGATTCTCCTGCCTCAGCCTCCCGAGTACCTGGGACTACAGGCATGCGCCACCCTGCCCAGCTAATTTTTGTATTTAGTACAGATGATGCTTCACCATGTTGGCCAGGCTGGTCTCGAACTCCCAACCTCAGGTGATCTGCCCGCCTCAGCCTCCCAAAGTGCTGGGATTACAGGTGTGAGCCGCTGAGCCCGGCCATATTTTAGGGTGATTTTTTAAAAAGACTTGTGCAATACATTTTGAGGCGAAATTTAGTGATTTTTTTTTCTGTTAAATTAGAGCATTTAATTGACTATTTTATTCAGGTTGATTTGTTGTATATTTGCTGAAGACCAGTTTTTTAAGCTAAGACATGTAATAAATCTCAAATGACAGTACCTCATTGTTTACTTAGCTTTTGTACTTATATTTTTTGGAGGAAAAAACACTGTCATAAATTGTAAATAGCCAATGCATAACTGTATTGTATGCAAGGCCGTGACTGTTGGTGGTGTCATCGCTGAGAAAGAGATAAATAAAGTTTATTTACTACAAAAAAAAAATCCAGGTGCAGAGTGATGTGGGATGTGGAACATGGTACAGAAAGATGACAGTAGGAACCATATCCAGTGTGACTACAAGCTACAGTGCAACCATAATAATTGATGTGAAAGAGAAGAAATTGAGGCCCGGTGGAGCTTTACCTTGAAGACTGGCCTCATAGGCGTGTAGTGCGCAGAGGAGATGGACAAAATTCTAAATTCTCTTCTCCAAAGAGGTGTAAAAATATAGCAATATAGCTATGAGAATAAAATGCAAGTCATCTGATTAGTCCATGGATGGATACCAGCCTAATACAAGCTATTATCTTTCTTTATCTGGATTACTATAATAGTTTTATCACCAATCTCTTTTCTTATTTTTGTATCCCCTGCTGACCTGATTAATTTTCCAAATAGCACTTATAGTGATCTTTCTAAGCATCACTGAGACCATAGTACTTCTTTCATCAACATAGTTCAGTGACTCCTCACTGCCCTTACTATAGTGTAAAAACTCACTACCTTTTCCTGGGTGGTATTTTATGATCTGACGTCTCTTGTCTCTCTTCCTTGTACTGATTTCACCTATATTGGCCTTTACAATTTCCTTGACTATTCCATGTTCTTCTGTGGATAAGCCAGACAGAGAACCCTCCATCAACTTCCTGTTTTTTATCTCATGATTGATTAGCTAAAATCAGAACAGTTGGTCATGATTGATTGCTAAGATTAGAACCGTTTATTCTAAACTAATTGTCTTAAAACTAGCCATCTGCAAAGAAAAACATGTCCTGTTCAAATAACTAACTTCAGCTTCCCCTGCCTACAAAACAACCTGGACTTCAAACCACCCTGTCTGCAAGTTATCTATCTCTCCTGATAAAAATCTAAGGCAAAACCACCTTGGTGGAACACTCTGATCTTTGAATCTGGGAGCACTCTAATTTAATAGCCTGAATAAAATCAACCTCTTGACTTATCTAGTTTTTGTTTTCAACAATTATACATTTACTGACGTGTTTTCTTGTTCATATGTTCCTCTCACTGTCTATTTGCTCCTTCTCTTTTCACATATAAAGCCTCTAGGCTTTATGAGGGGAGGAACCATGCATTTTTATTTACCAAAGTAATACTAATGTTTCTTAAATGCCTGACTATAGGAGGCAACCCATAAATATTTACTTTTAGAATAAATGAATAAATTAATGAATATAAAAGCATCAGATGTCTCCAAGTAGTGACTAGACTTGCAATGATGCAGGAGTCACTATAAACAAAGTAAATTACCAGGAGTGCGTGCCATGTAATCTAGAAAGGGTTACTAGAAAGAAGGGCTAGAAGTACCAGTCAAATTGTCAGAACATCATCTCAGAGGCCTGTTCAGATGAGGACTTCAATCCCAATAGATGATCTAGGTAGAGATCAAGCACTTTGACTCAAGTCTAGACCAATGGGTAGACCCCAGAAATAGTAAGAATAGGCCATAAAAAAGTGATGCTAAGGTTCATAATGGCATGCTAAATCTTCTACAGCAGCAAAAGCAACTCTAACACACAAGTTCATGAGTGATTATATTTAGAATCAGGGCATGAATGGTAACGATATTAGTCTTATAAATAAATGTAAATGGGGAAACACACACCTTTATAATGAAAAAGGAAGAACAAAAAGAAAAAGTATATAACCACAGGTATAATTCAAGAAATAAAAACAATATTTTTTCACCTATAATAATGGAAGGAGATTGGGAAAGACTGAGAATCCAAAGAACCAGGAATTCACAATTTGTTGAAGTGTACATTGTTTCAAAACTTTTGTTTTTTAACTTTTATATTTAGTTCAGGGGCTGTCTGCACCAGGAGCCATAATGTTTCTTCACTGAAATCCAACAATATAGTTTCTATGAATTTGTCCTGAAGGTGTAGTGTATGTACAAAGATTTATTTCCAAATATCATAATTACTGTAGAAAAATTTGAAAACCACTCAATAATAGTTAAGTTAAATTATGACTTATTTATAGATTATAGTGTTTTGTTTAAGGTTATGTTTGCTACTCTAACAATAAACCTCAAATTTTACTGGTTTAACAGAGTGGAAAGCATTTTTTTTCTTACATAGTATAAAAACAGAAGGTGAGGCAGGAGTAAAGGAATCTAATCCATGCAGTCATTCAGGGATCCAGCCAGATGAGAGCCCTGCCATTCATAACATGTGCTTTCCCAGGTATCTCTTGGCATTGATGTCAATTTGACAGATAAGGAAAAAAGAAAAAGTAGAAGTTTATGAAAGACGTTCTTATGTACTTAAACTATAAATGGCCTAAACATTTCTGTACATACTTCATTAGTCAAAATGCAATCACATGATACAATTTAGATTTCAAAAGGGCTGAAAAATGTGGTTGTCTTTGAGTCTGTATGCCATGCAAAAGAAGTGTCAGTCTTCAATGAAGAGCTAGCTAACTCTGCCACAAATGGATAATTATGTAGCCATGCTATCATGGTACCAAAGAACATTTAATGATGGGTGAAAAAATTAGAATGATTCCAATTATATAAAAAGAATAAACAAATAGAATTTTTAAGCCCATGCTTTTTTTAGAAGTGCCAAAGATGTAGGGGTGGAAGTGGGATAAATTGCACCAATATATTAACAGGGGCTTTCTCTGGATAGTGATAGTACAGGCAATATTTGTTTTTTTTTCTCATGTTGTTCTGTGCTTTTTTCATTTTCTATAATTATCAATACTAATATTGTAATCAGATTATGAAAAATCGTAAAACAAAGGAGAAGAGAGAGGAAGGATTAGGTGTGCTCTATGTATCTCATGAAATGTATTTAGAAATATTAAAAATTTAGGTCTTGTTGGCCAGGCATGGTGACTCATGCCTGTAATCCCAGCACTTTGGGAGGCCAAGACAGGCAGATCACCTGAGGTCAGGAGTTCGAAACCAGCCATGCCAACATGGCAAAACCTCATCTCTACTAAAAATACAAAAATTAGCCAGGCGTGGTGATGGGCACCTGTAATTCCAGCTACTTGGGGGTCTGAGATACAAGAAAGGCTTGAATCCAGGAGGTGGAGGTTGCAGTGAGCCGAGATTGCACTACTGCTCTCCAGCCTGGGAAACAGAGCTAGACTCCATCTAAGAAACAAACAACAAATAATTTAGGTATTGTTTTCCAAGAACATTTAATCCTATAGGGATAGATGTGATTAACAGATGTGAAACAGTGGAAGAATTTTATGAGACAAAGCTTAATCATATTAATTTAACTTAGTATTTTCTAGCCACTTTTTGAGAATGCAATGACCTGCCAAAACTATGCTGGGACAAAGAGTGCAGCTTAGAGCATGCCACAGCAAACACTTCTATTGTGTGTTAAAGTGACTGTGGGTCAAGATTTTTAGCTTCTTTCCTATCACAAAAGTAAGGATTCTTTGAGCTTCCCTCCAGAGCTACAAAGGCTATGTACAGAGTTCTCAGTATATATACATTTGCCAGTTCTGGTACAATTTGGTGGTTTCCATAATTTAAAATCATATCTCTAATTTCAAGTCAGCAAATCAAAAGCAAAATCTATTGCTATTCTGTTTTTCAAATATCTCTCTGAAATTTTTCCCTTCTTAAACTATTTTGGGTCTTTTGTTTTACAGCAACCTGGGGAACATGTCTGTGGAAGTGACTGATGTGGGTACTGTAGGATAACTATATGAGTTTTATTGTGTGTGGTTGTTACATATTTGGGCAAATGGTTTGACTTGCATTATCTTGAAAATCAAATTTAAAATTGAATAGTGTTTGTGATGGTTCTGCTGCTGCTGCGCTTTCTTTTTCTGAAATGAGTGTGACTTCTGATCAATTTTTTGAGCAGCCCATCACAATTTTCATTTTACATTTTGTGATATTAGTTTTGTTCTTAGAGAAATTAAGGGAATAAAGGTATTTTTCGATAAAGACTTAAGGATGTGAAACCTAATCACCAAGAATATTAACCAAATGCTTTTTTTTATTAACATCTAGTCTCTAACTGAATTGTCTTAGTAATGATCAGTTTATGTAGCTTTAAAGATACAGGGAAATGCAGAATCTGGGTTAAAAAAAGAAACCCTTTCTTATGGTAAGCTGTTTTACTTCTTTTCTTATATTTCTCTTTACATATAAGACACATTTTCAATGCTACAAAATTTTCAATAGAAAAATAAGTTTCAATGGTCTCAGTTGCTAAGATATTGTGAGAAACAATAGAAAGAAATCAGTTCAGTTTGTGATACTTTTAACCACTTTTTTTTTTCTTTTTGAGACGGAGTTTTGCTCTGTCATCCAGGCCAGAGTGTACTGGCACGATCTTGGCTCACTGCAACTTCTGCCTCCCAGGTTCAAGTAATTCTCTCACCTCTGCCCCCTGAGTAGCTGGGACTACAGGCATGTGCTACCACGTCGGGCTAATTTTTGTATTTTTAGTAGAGACAGGGTTTCACCATGTTGGCCAGGCTAGTCTCGAACACCTGACCTCAAAAGATCCGCCCACCTCAGCCTCCAAAAGTACTGGGATTACAGGTGTGTGCCACCTTGCCTGGCCTTTTATCCACTTTTAAATCTTTGTTTTAAATAACCCGGGTATAAAGCAAATACAGGAGTGACTTTAAAAATTTATTATCAAAATATTGGTAGCATGCACATGAAAATTAGTATGATTTATATTAAAGAAAAATTCCATGTTTTTGCATCATTAGCATACCAATACAGAATCATAAGTTTGTGAGATTAAGAAAAAAAAAACTGTTTTTAGGAGAAAGCATTTATCCTTATTGTTCTCAGCTGCTAGACCCTTACCCTAGATCTCCCAGTCTCAAAAGCATACATAACTATTTCCAAAGCAGTTCCAGCCTTGTGTGTGTGTGTGTGTGCATGCATGTGTGTAAAATATATGTAACATATTTATATATAATATAGTAAACAATAAATAATATTATGTTTCTGTGGCTCAGCTCTAAAGAAACTTCATTTCCTTCAAATTCCTCCAGAGAGTTCTGAGAACTCCCAAGAGGTCAGCCATCTTCCAGATTCATGGCATACACTGCTTTCCCATCTCCGGCTTTGGTTCACTGTGATGACCTCTCCTAAGGCACCAGTTATAGAGTTAATACCCCCAAAGTTGCCAATATTCCTGTTTTGCCTATCCTAGTACCACCCTCACTGCTTCTGGTGCTCACCCATTTCTGGAACAAAGCTCTGCATTTTTTATATCAAATGTGCAGACGTGTGCCACAAGCACACCTCCTTTAACACTGCTGATCAGTTATCCCTGCAGAAGATTTTGGACAAATTCTTTGTGAAAGAGTTTCTTTAAAAATATTTTATTATTCTTCACTGAATACTCTTGATCTCAGGCAAGAGTCTGAGGGCTGGGCCAGAAGATAATTGAAGGGACCTACATGATGTGGTGTGAAAGAAGCCAGACACAAATGCATACTATATAATTTAATCTACAAGGAATTCAAAAACAGGAAGTGTGAATTTGTGATTTTAGAAGTGAAGTTAATGGTTAACTTTGAAAAGGGGAGAAGAATTAAAGATGGAGAGGAGACACAAACTGGAGCTTACTAGGAGGTGATGACATTACTGTTCTCGATTTTGTCTATTGTCACATTTTGTCAATGATTACAACTCTGTTAAGTATTCAGAAATTATGAAAGCATAACTTCTTCAATTATGTAGTTCAACATTCTTTAAGGCTACATCTTTGCATCACCTGGAATCATCTTGTCTCTACACAATGGGACATGGCATAACAGCTGAAAGTTTATCCCTGTCAATATCTGGGGATGTAGAACATAGGCCACACCATCATAAACTTCTTGGACTGGAGTCTTTCTTATGCTAGGCCAGTACCAAAATATTAATACCTTCTTCATGTTCCATCTTCTAAACACAGGTTGACAATTCTAAGAATTGTTTATTCTTAACTAGAATTGTTTATTTTTAACCCCTTTCTCCTCCTAACATCTTCATGTCAGAGATTACTTTCTGGTATGTTTAAAATTATTTTAGCATTTAATTATCCTTTTATTCCTAATTTATTTTCTGACATTCGATTTAGTAGAGATAAATGAGCACAAAACTTGGTTTCATGCAGACCTGAAGACCTGATTTCAAATTTCATCTATGCATTTTTTTATCTGAATGATTTAGGGCAACTTACTCAAACTCACGGAGTCTCAGTTTTCCTATTGCAAAGTAAAAGTAACAAAGCTTACTCATTATATTGCTTATAGTAAAGAGTGAAGTAAAGTAAGTATGAACAATGTATGTATTGCATTTGTCTCACAGAATGCTAATTCCATTTCTCTTTTAAATTATTATTTTTTTGGCTGGGCACAGTGGCTCCCACCTGTAATCCCAATAATTTGGGAGGCCGAGGTGGGTGGATTACTTGAGTTCGGGAGTTAGAGACCAGCCTGACCAACATGGCAAAACCCCATCTCTACTAAAAAATACAAATATTAGCTGGGTGCGGTGGCAGGTACCTGTAACCCCAGCTACTCAGGAGGCTGAAGCAGGAGAATTGCTTGAACCCGGGAAGCAGAGGTTGCATGCAGTGAGCAGGATCATGTCATTGCACTCCAGCCAGGGTGACAGAGCAAGACGCCATCTCAAAAGAAAAAAAAATATATTTTTTTCAATAAAGAAAAAAGGCTTAATTGGCTCATGGTTCCACAAGGTGTACTGACACACTATGCTGGCATCTGCTTGGCCTCTGAAGAAGTCTCAGAAAACTTACAATCATGACAGAAAGTAAAGAGGGAGCCAGAAATTCACACATCCAGAGCAGAAGGAAGACAGAGAGGGAGAGGTGCTACCCACTTTTAAACAACCAGATCTTATGAAAACTCTATCACAAGAACAGCACCAAGAAGATGGTGCTAAACCATTCATAAAGGACCACCTCCATGATCCAATCACCTCCCAAAGGCCCAACCTCCAAAACTGGGAATTACAATTCAACATGAGATTTTGAGGAGGAACACAGATCAAAACCATATCATTCTGACCCCTCCCAAATCTCATGTCCTTCTCACATTTCACAATACAACAATACAATCATGCCTTCCCAACAGTCTCCTAAAGTCTAAACTCATTCCATCATTAACTCAAAAGTCCAAAGTCTCATCTGAGACAAGGCAAGTGCCTTCCACCTATAAGCCTGCAAAAAAAAAAAAAAGCAAAACAAAACAAAACAAAAAAACAAAGTTAGTTACTTCCAAGATACAATGGGAGTATAGGCATTGGATAAATATTCCTAATCCAAAATAAAGCAATTGGCCAAAAGAAAGGAACTGCAGGCCCCATGCAAGTCTAAAATGAAGCAGGGCAGTTACTAAATATGAAAGCTCCAAAATAATCTCCTTTCACTCCATGTCCCACATCCACGGCAAACTGATGCAATGGTTGGGCTCTCAAGGCCTTCAGCAGCTCCACTCCTGTGGCTTTACAGGGTTCAGTCCCTGTGTCTGCTCTCATGGGCTGGCACTGAATACCTATAGCTTTTCCAGCTACAGGGTGCAAGCTGCCAGTGAATCCACTTCATTCTGGGGTCTGAAGGATGATGGCCCTTTTCTCACAGCTCCACTAGGCAGTGTCCCAGTGGGGACTGTGTGTGGAGACTCCAACTCAACATTTCCCGTTTGCACTGCCCTAGTACAGGTTCTCCATGAGGGCTCCACCCCTGCAGCAGGCTTCTGCCAGGACATACAGGCTTTTCCATATATCCTCACAAATCTAGACAGAGGCTCCCAAGCTTCAACTCTTGCACTCTGTGCACCTGTAGGATAAACACCACATGGAAGATGCCAGGGCTTATGGCTTGAATACTCTGAAGCAGTGGATCAAATTGTACCTGGGTGCCTTTTAGCCATGGCTGTAATTAGGGTGGCCAGGATGAAGGGAGCAGTGTCCAGAGGTTGTGCAGAGCAGTAGGGCCCTGGATCTGGCCCATGAAATTATTCTCCCCTCCTAGGCTTTCAAGCCTGTGATGAGAGGGTCTCCTTGAAGGTTTCTGAAATGATTTTGAGGCCTTTTCTGCATTGTGTTGGCTATTAGCACTTGGCTGCTCTTTACTTATACAAATTTCTGCAACCTGCTTAAGTTTCTTCCCTGAAAATGGGCATTTTTTTTCTACCACGTGGCCAGTTTGCAAATTTTCCAAACTTTTACACTCTGCTTCCCCTTTAAATATAAGTTTCATTTTTATGGGTTTTTCTGCTCATGCACATGAGCATAGCCATTTAGAAGCAGCTAGGCGAAGTCTTGAATACTTTCCTGCTTAGAAATTTCTTCTGCCAGATACTATAAATAATCATTCTCAGGTTCAAATTTCCGCAGATTCCCTAGGGCAGCAGCAAAATGCAGCCAGGTTATTCACTAGGGCAGAACAAAAGTTACCTTTGCTCCAGTTCCCAATAAGTTCTTCATTTCCATTTAAGACATCCTCAGCCTGGACTTCATTGTTCAGACCACTATCAGCATTTTGGTCACAACCATTCAACAAATCATTAGGAAGTTCCAAACCTTCCCTCATCTTCCTGTCTTCTTCTGAGCCCTCCAAATTCTTCCAGCCTCTGTCCGTTATCCAGGTCTAAAGTCACTTCCACATTTGCAGGTCTCTTTATAGCAATGCCCCATTCCTCAGTACCAATTTTCTGTATTAGTCTGTTCTTGCATCACTATGAAGAAATACCTGAAACTGGGTAATTTCTAAAGAAAAGAGGTTTAACTGACTCATGGTTTTGCAGGCTGTACAGGAAGCATGATGCATCTGTCCAGCTTCTGAGAAGGCCTCAGGACACTTATAACTATGGTGAAAGTTAAAGGGGGAGCCAGCACTTCACATGGCTGGAACAGAAGGGAGAGAGTTAAATTGTTTTTGATTAAAAGTGGTCAATGGAAAAATACTCTTTTTTATTAGAGGAATGAGTGTCCTTCCCTTGCAAGAATATAGAATATTTAGAGGCCTTTGATATTTTTAGCATGAAAAATGTAAGATAAATTAAATATATTAATTTTTTATGTATGCTCTAAAATTATTTTTTTCACAATATCTTGGTTGTCAAATAATAAGATTCTTGTAAAAAGCCTCACAAAAAATTTCAATAGGAAACAAAATTGTTAAAAGTTTTATTAGCACTTTAATGGGGCTAGAGTTTCAATCCTTATGTAGGGATTTTTTTTTTAATGTTACTGGAGTTTCATTAAGATCTATTTTTTTTTATAAAAAGACATATTTATCTTAAACTGGCCAAATCTCTATATATTAGTTAGTTGTTTTTGTATGTTTTTCTTTTATGGAAGTATCAGAAGTACAGAAAAAATAGAGGAAATATATCAAGCTTTCATGGCATAGACTCAGAACTGGAGCATTGTCACTTCTGCCTTCATGCCACTGACCAAAGCAGATTAAAAAAAAGCAGAGGCCAAAGTCAAGAGATCAGGACAGCACAGTCACCCATAGTGAGGCATGACAGAGTATAGTTGCCCAGGGACATAAATAAGTGAAGCAACAGTTTAAACTATCACAAGTATCATGAATTCATGTGAGGTTAGTTAGTGTATAACCCATCATAGGGTTAAATCTTTTAAAAATGCATTTATTTACTCATTAATATAGTAAATCAACAAACAAGTACTGTTGAAATAATATACTCTGTAAAATTAGTGTATGACTGACCTTGCTTTTAAAAACATCACTGTCATTATTTCATTTAGTTATGTATTCAATAAAAATTATTTTTAAACCTCTATCATATGCCATGTTATTTGCAAATGTTCTCCAAAATGTAACTGTCTTATACCCAACAGTTCTCTATAGTGGATAAGCTAATTCACTGACACAGGTATTTGATTTGCAAACAAATGATTGCTTTCAGAGATTTTACTTGGATTCTACATTAAGTAAAAATAAATATTTTTATAGATGATTTATGAGATTGTCTATCAGTGTTGTAGATGAGACTGGTAAGACTTCTTCTTAAATATATTAAAAAGGAGAGAATACTTTCAAACTAATTATATGAGGCCAGCAGTACCCTGATACTAAAGCCAGACAAGGATATTACAAGAAAAGAAAATTACTGGCCAATGTTTCTGATGAGCATATTATAAAAATCTTGAATAAAATACTATCAAACTGAATTCAATAGCACATTAAAGTGATCATTCACCATGATCAAGTGAGGTATATCCCAGAGATGCAAGGATGATTCAACATATATAATTCATACACTTGATACACCACATTAGCAAAATAAAAGGCAAAAACTGCATCGTCATCTCAACAGATGCAAAAGTCACTTGGCAAATTTAACATTCATTCATGATAAAACTTCTCAACAAAACAGATACAGAAGAAATTTACCTCAACACAATAAAGACCATAAATGACAAGTTCACAATTAACATTATGCTCAATGGTGAAAAGTTGAAAGCTTTTCATCTAAGATCAGAAATAAGAAAAGGATGCCCACTCTAATCACTAGTCTTCAACATAGTACTGTAAGTTCCAGCTAGTAAAATTGAGCAAGAAAAATACAAGATGCTCAAATAGAAAAGAAAGAAGTAAAATTGTCTCTGTTTGATGATCACGTGATGTTATATAGAGAAAGCCATAAGGACTCAACCAAAATCCTTCCAACACTGTTAAACAAATTCAGTAAAGAGGCAGGTTTCAAAATCAACATACAAAAATTAGTGGAATTTCTATACACTAACAACAAACTACAAAATAAAGAAACAATCTCATTTAAAAATAGCACCAAAAAAATTACTTAGGAGTAAATTTAATCAAGGAGATGAAAGACCTGTATACTGAAAACTATAAAACATTGATGAAAAAACAATTAAAGACACAAAGAAGTGGAAAGATATTTTGTGGTCAGGGATTAGAAGAATTAATATTTTTAAAATGTACAAACCCAAAGCAATGTGCAGATTGAATGTAACCCTGATGTGTGAAGTCAGGAATCCCGAACGGAGGGACTGGCTGAAGCCATGGCAGAAGAACATAGATTGTGAAGATTTTATGGACATTTATTAGTAACCCAAATTAATACTTTTATAATTTCTTACACCTGTCTTTACTACAATCTCTGAACATAAATTGTGAAGATTTCATGGACACTTATCACTTCCCCAATCAATACCCTTGTGATTTCCTATGCCTGTCTTTAATCTCTTAATCCGGTCATTTTCATAAACTGAGGAGGATGTATGTCACCCCAGGACCCAGTGATGATTGCGTTAACTGCACAAATTGTTTGTAGAGCATGAGTGTTTAAACAATATGAAACCTGGGCACCTTGAAAAAAGAACAGGATAACAGCAAATTTCAGGGAACAAGAGAGATGACATTAAACTCTGACTGCCGGTTAGCCAGGTGGAACAGAGCCATATTTCTATTCTTTCAAAAGCAAATGGGAGAAATATCACTGAATTCTTTTTCTCAGCAAGGAACATCCCTGAGAAAGAGAATGCATCCCTGAAGGTAGGCCTCTAAAATGGCCACTTCAGGGGGTGGTCATCTTTTATGGTCGAAGTTGTAGGGATGAAATAAGCCGCAGTCTCCTGTAGCACTCCCAGGCTTATTAGGACGAGGAAATTCCCACCTAATAAATTTTGGTCAGACCGGTTGTCTGCTCTCAAACGCTGTCTCCTGATAAGATGTCATCAATGACAATGCATGCCCAAAACTTCATTAGCTGTTTTAATTTCGCCCCCGTCCTGTGGTCCTGTGATCCTACCCTGCCTCCATTTGCCTTGTGATATTCTGTTACCTTGTGAAGCACGTGATCTCTGTGACCCACACCCTCTTCATACACTCCCTTCCCTTTTGAAAATCACTAACAAAAATTTGCTAATTTTACAGCTCAGGGGGCATCATGGAACCTGCCCACATGTGATGTAATCCCCCATGGGATTGCAGCTCATGCCTGTAATCCCAGCACTTTAGGAGGCTGAGGTGTGTGGATCACCTGAGGTCGGGAGTTTGAGACCAGCCTGACCAACATGCAGAAACCTTGTCTCTACCAAAAATATAAAATAAACTGGGCGTGGTGGTGCATGCCTGTAATCCCAGCTACTCGGGAGTCTGAGGCAGGAGAATCACTTGAACCCGAGAGGCAGAAGTTGCAGTGAGCCGAGATCACACCATTGAACTCCAGCCTGGGCAACACAAGTGAAACTTCATCTCACACACACACACGCACACACACACACACACACACACACACACACACACACACACAAAGAAAGAAATGGATATATAAAGAAAAAGTGTGTACCACACAATGAAGCCCTAAAAAGGCAGAAAATGCTATCATTTGCAACAACATGGATGGACCTGGAGGACATTATGCTAAGTTAAATAAGCCAGGTACAGAAAGACAAGCATATTAGTCCATTTTCATACTGCTATGAAGAAATACCCGAGACTGGGTAATTTATAAAGAAAAATAGGTCTAATGGATTCACAGTTCCACATGAGACCTCACAATCATGGTGAAAGGCAAAGGAGGAGCAAAGGCACCTCTTACATGGTGGCAGGCAAGAAGAGCATGTGCAAGGGAACTTCCCTTTATAAAACCATCAGTTCTCCTGAGATTTATTCACTATCACAAAAACAGCATGGGAAAAACCCATCCCCATGATTCAATTACTTCCCACTGATTACCTCCCACAACATATGGGGATTATGGGAGCTACAATTCAAAATGAGATTTGGGTGGGGACGCAGCTAAATCTTATCGACAAATACTATAAAATCTCATATGTGGAATCTAAAAAGTCAATCTCATAGAAAGAGAGAATAGAAAGGATTTTACCAGAGGCTGAGGGTTTTCGGGATGCATGGGGGAAAAAGGAGATATTGATCAGCTTCTGTTAGACAGGAGAAATGTTTTAGTATCTATTGCACTGTATGGTGACCACAGTTAATTATAAGTTAGTGTGTGTTTCAAAATTGCTGACAGAATTGATTTTTTGCATTCTACCACATACAAAAAAAAGGATAACTAGATGAAGTGATGGATATGTTAATTAGCTTAATGTGCTCTTTCACACAGAGATCAAGACATTACATTGTACCTCATAATATATACACAAATATTATTTATCAATTAGAAATATATAAATCAATATTGTTGAAATATTTTATAATTTTTGGCCAATATTTTTTAATGTAATGTCTTTTGCCAAATGTTTAAACTATTGGCCCATTGATCAAATTCAAGCAAAAATGAGTCTTCCTTGGCCAGCAAAATAGGTAAATATTTCACATTGGAATGTCCTTAGGAGTGACATGTACCCACTGGTTAACCTATTGCTAGGACTCAATCTCTCTGTACATTTGATTAGGTCTCATTATCCAAAAGGACATTTGATTTTGTGTATTTTGCTTTATGGTTTACAACACCAAAGCACAGGTTCTCACTCTTCCGTGTATTTGAACTGTTCCAAAACTAGCAAAAAATATTTGGACCCTTTTTATAATTAGCCCTAGAAATTATGTGAGATAGCCAATCATTCATACACCTTAACTGGAAATGTGTAATATCTGCAGTCCACACATGGTAGATAAATTAAGTAAGCCACCAAGGCATTAGTCTAAGGGTTGAAAATACAAAGAAGATGGAGCTATTGCCTTCAGTGAACTCAATTTCTAGTACATTCAACAAATTTTTTCTGATGGAGCAGGATAAGGTTTCCATGTGGATGTGATGACATCTCATCTGAATGTTGATGAAAAATAATTTTCTAGGTGAACAAGGAGAAACAGGTACAGGGAAGTACTTGTGACAACAGTCACACAAAATGACCTCTTTTGTGAAAGGTGGGTAAATTTAAGCTCCTAAGACCAGACAATGAAACGTCTTCTCTGCAGTGTAAGAGTGTGCTTCTCCAGACTGCCACCCACCCACTAGTCATCTATATATATAGAAAGTTCCTTCTCTCTCCAAAGGTTACTGATAATTGCCTTCCCTATAGCCATTCTACTCTTCTTTCATTTGGGAAAAGGTAATATGTATGAATACAATCATGATTTTTCTAGATGCTGTCCTACAGCAAGGGTTGGCCATGAGATCCCATTCTGGAAGGTGAAATATAAATGGAATTAGTGGTTAGAGCCTTTGGGAAAGCTATTGCATTCCAGATAAAGATGAGAAATCACTTGGCATATATCTCATTTCTCCTTATCCTTTTCTTTTAGCCTTCCTCCTGCCTGGAACATGATAATGATACTTAGAGTTGTTGCTGCCATTTTGTGAGTGATAATCTACAGGTCACATTTGGCAGGCTTCTAAATTCACTTGCCTAGTGTAAGAGTGTGCCTCTCCAGCCTGCCACCCACCCACTAGTCATCTATATATGAATATGACTTGCCCAGGGGAGGTTTCATGATTCCTGGCTTACATCCTATTCCTGAGTAAAGATCATAAGCGAATTCCTCAAATATTATCTTGAGTTCCTCAAACTTTTGACATATCGATTAAGACGTAACTTACTGACATTGAAAAGGAGACTGACTTATTTCTGACTATTTCTGAATCATGAAGTTTTTCTGATTCATGAAGTTTTACTGATTGTTTTGCATTTAATTTAAATGTAAAACATTTTAGCGTGTTTGTTGTAATCTGTAGCCTAGGATTGTAACCTTTGTATTATACTCTCCAGTGAAAAGGACAACTCCAGTTTGAGGATTCCACTTCCTTTTCTCTAAACTTTTCATAAAAGCCTCCCAACTTGCAACAGACTCTGGAACATACTCATTTTTGTTGGTGTGTCTTCCAGGGTTGATTCTCACATTTGGCTTCCAATAAACCTTTATCAAAATATTTCTGCCTCAACAGCCTTAATTTTGGTTGATGTGAGCATAAAGCTGAAAGCTCCTACTAAGGCCAGTGCAGCAGCAAAACACAATAGAAGACATTTAGGTCCTGTCGTGGAACCAGCAAACCAGCCCTGGACCACCTCTTTCTGGACCTTTTTCTTTGAGAGGAATAAAACAAACCTGCTGCTTGTTTAGGCGATAGTTTTTCAGGTTTTCTGTTTCTTGAAACCAGATGTAGTCATGGCTGATAAATCTTCTAGCCAGATAACAAATACCGAGAATTCTAATGTGCTTGAAGTCAAGATGATTTCTATTTACAGAAGATGCGAAGATAACAAGGATATGAACTCTGTTTCTTTTTCAAGTATGTCCAATGATACAAACTTTTGCTTTTAAACTAAATACTTATTTATGTGGATGAGCTAGTTATCCAAATACATGAAGACATCCACTAATCCTTTCTGGAAGGTTCATTCTTATTCATCTATATACCTACTATCACAGTTGATTTAATATTCCTTATAATAATGCTTCACTGTATGAAAATATCTCGCCATATTGAGATGTTCTGGCCCATCATGAGCGTATAAAGACCTTGCTTACAAGCATAAAACTACTATAAATACAATCCTTGTCTAAGTAACAACTTCCATAGTAACAACCTTGGACAAGGTATGTTTATCCAGAAGTTTCCTTTTAAGTGTGTACAAAAAAAGGATTCAGGTTACATATATTGATACTTGTTGGATATAGGAGGGAAATATGGGTAAAAAGAGACTCCCATGAAGAGGGGTGGGTTAGCAAGACTAGACAGGCATTCCAAAGGAGTAATGCCTTAGAACATACATACTCATTTTCAGCAATGCTGGTTTTTTTTTTTTTTTTTTTTGTCTGAAGTATAAAAAAAGATGTTTTGGGTTCGGGCACAGTGGCTCACGCATGTAGTCCCAGCACTTTGGGAGGCTGAGGTGGGCGGATTACCTGAGGTCAGGAGTTCGAGACTAGCCTGGCCAACATGGCAAAACCCCATCTCTACTAAAAGTACAAAAATTAGCCGGGCATGGTGGCGGGCGCCTGTAATCCCAGCTACTCAGGAGGCTGAGGCAGGAGAATTGCTTAAACCCTGTTAAACCCCGGAGGCGGAGGTTGCAGTGAGCTGAGATCATGCCACTGCACTCCAGACTGGATGACTAGAGTGAGACTCTGTCACAAAAAAAAAAAAAAAAAAAAAAAAAAAGAAGAAGAAGATGTTTTGAGTTGTTTCTTCCCTATACATTAACTGTGATGGTTAACACTGAGTGTCAACTTGATTGGACTGAAGGAGGCAAAGTATTGTTCCTGGGTGTGTCTGTGAGGGTGTCGCCAAAGGATATTAACATTTGTGTCAGTGGACTGGGAAAGGCCAATCCACCCTCAGTCTGGGTGGGCACAATCTAATCAGATGCTAGTATGGCCAGAATAAAAGCAGGCAGAAAACGTGAAAACACTAGACTGGCTTAGTCTCCAAGCCTACATCTTTCTCCCATGCTGGATGTTTCTGACCCTTGAACATCGGACTCCAAGGTCTTCAGCTTTGAGACTCAGACTGGCTTCCTTGCTCCTCATCTTGTCAGATGGCCTATTGTGGGACCTTACCTTGTGATCATGTGAGTTAATTCTCCTTAATAAACTCCTCTTTATATATACATCTATCCTATTAATTCTGTCCCTCTAGAGAACCCTGACTAATACATTAACTTTTGGCATGGAGTGCAAAAAATGACTGGCATTTATCTCCAGGTAAGTCTATTTCTGTTTTTTCCAAGAAACAGCACAATGTCTACGCAGTTACTCATTTGAAAGGAACAGTTTTTGCTTTCTGTAAATACGTGAGAAGAACCGAGACCTCCCAGGCATGTGTTTCTTCTACATAATCATAATCATAGCTGGGTCTTGGTGATGGTTTGACTGAATCATGCACCTTGGATCTCCCCAGCAGGGAAAACTAATGCTAGCATGAACAGCTTTGCATCTTTATAAGGCTGAAACACTCTCATTTACTCTACTGGGGGTGAACATTTTCAGATAAAATAAGCGACAACTGTGATCGGATAAATATATATATATATATCAGTGTTCCAAATAGGGATGAAGTTAGCTAACCTTTTTTTTTTCTTTCTATAATAAGCTACTTTCTGTTTTATAGACAATTTTTTGTTGAATCTATGGCAACCTAAGTTTGCAAACATCACTGTAAAATCCCGTATGTTCCTGATTTCCTTGAAGATCAGGCTGTGTTCAAGTCCCCCACCGCTGAGCTGTGAAAGTTTAAAAATGTCTTAGCTTATAAAATGTACTGATCTACCAAGGAGTGTTTCCTTTATATCTCATGAGAAGCTTTTTATTGAAATAGTGAGAAATAGAAAAACTCAAGGCGTTAGAAATAAAAACGGTTTCAGAGATCATTTAGAGTGACTTCTAAAATAAGTTTAGAATAATTTTGATGAATTTGGATGCTGCAAATGTTTAACTCAGAGACTAGTTTGAACGAAACATTTCAAATAATATAAGGCCAGGCACAGTGGCTCACACCTGTAATCCTGGCACTTTGGGAGGCTGACCACTTGAGACCAGGAGTTCAAGACCAGCCTGGACAACATGGTAAAACCCTGTCTTTACTAAAAATACAAAAATTAGCCAGGCATGTTGGCATGTGCCTGTAGTGCCATAGTCCCAGCTAGTCTGGGGGCTGAAGTGGCAGGATCCCTTGAACCTAGGAGACGGAGGTTGCAGTGATCCCTTGAACCTAGGAGACGGAGGTTGCAGTGAGCTGAGATCGCACCACTACATTCTAGATGTCTAGGTGACAGAGTGAGACTCTGTCTCAAAAAAAAGGAAAAAAGAAAAAAAATTCAAAATAATGTAATTGCTAATAAATGTCATCGAGAAAGTTTTTTTTCTACAAAAGATTCCTTTTTTTATTTTTTATTTTTATTAACGTTTTAGGGTACATGTGCACATTGTGCAGGTTAGTTACATATGTATACATGTGCCATGCTGATGCGCTGCACCCACCAACTCGTCATCTAGCATTAGGTATATCTCCCAATGCTATCCCTCCCCCCTCCCCCCACCCCACAACAGTCCCGAGTGTGATATTCCCCTTCCTGTGTCCATGTGATTTCATTGTTCAATTCTCACCTATGAGTAAGAATATGCGGTGTTTGTTTTTTTGTTCTTGCAATAGTTTCCTGAGAATGATGACTTCCAATTTAATCCATGTCCCTACAAAGGACATGAACTCATCCTTTTTTATGGCTGCATAGTATTCCATGGTGTGTATGTGCCACATTTTCTTAATCCAGTCTATCATTTTTGGACATTTGGGTTGGTTCCAAGTCTTTGCTATTGTGAATAATGCCGCAATAAACATACGTGTGCATGTGTCTTTATAGCAGCATGATTTATAGTCCTTTGGGTATTTACCCAGTAATGGGATGGCTGGGTCAAATGGTACTTCCAGTTCTAGATCCCTGAGGAATCGCCACACTGACTTCCACAATGGTTGAACTAGTTTACAGTCCCACTAACAGTGTAAAAGTGTTCCTATTTCTCCACATCCTCTCCAGCACCTGTTGTTTCCTGACTTTTTAATGATTGCCATTCTAACTGGTGTGAGATGGTATCTCATTGTGGTTTTGATTTGCATTTCTCTGATGGCCAGTGACGATGAACATTTTTTCATGTGTTTTTTGGCTGCATAAATGTCTTCTATTGAGAAGTGTCTGTTCATGTCCTTTGCCCACTGTTTGATGGGGTTGTTTGTTTTTTTCTTGTAAATTTGTTTGAGTTCATTGTAGATTCTGGATATTA
Organism: Homo sapiens; assembly: GCF_000001405.40. Classification (NCBI taxonomy): domain Eukaryota; kingdom Metazoa; phylum Chordata; class Mammalia; order Primates; family Hominidae; genus Homo; species Homo sapiens. The sequence goes on along the minus strand of NC_000002.12, from coordinate 117,161,152 downwards.
GCCCATTGTCAGATGAGTAGGTTGTGAAAATTTTCTCCCATTTTGTAGGTTGCCTGTTCACTCTGATGGTAGTTTCTTTTGCTGTGCAGAAGCTCTTTAGTTTAATTAGATCCCATTTGTCAATTTTGTCTTTTGTTCCCATTGCTGTTGGTGTTTTAGACATGAAGTCCTTGCCCATGCCTATGTCCTGAATGGTAAAGCCTAGGTTTTCTTGTAGGGTTTTTATGGTTTTAGGTCTAACCTTTAAGTCTTTAATCCATCTTGAATTGATTTTTGTATAAGGTGTAAGGAACGGATCCAGTTTCAGCTTTCTACATATGGCTAGCCAGTTTTCCCAGCACCGTTTATTAAATAGGGAATCCTTTCCCCATTGCTTGTCTTTCTCAGGTTTGTCAAAGATCAGATAGTTGTAGATATGCGGCGTTATTTCTGAGGGCTCTGTTCTGTTCCATTGGTCTATATCTCTGTTTTGGTACCAGCACCATGCTGTTTTGGTTACTGTAGCCTTGTAGTATAGTTTGAAGTCAGGTGGTGTGATGCCTCCAGCTTTGTTCTTTTGGCTTAGGATTGACTTGGCGATGCGGGCTCTTTTTTGGTTCCATATGAACTTTAAAGTAGTTTTTTCCAATTCTGTGAAGAAAGGCATTGGTAGCTTGATGGGGATGGCATTGAATCTGTAAATTACCTTGGGCAGTATGGCCATTTTCATGATATTGATTCTTCCTACCCATGAGCATGGAATGTTCTTCCATTTGTTTGTATCCTCTTTTATTTCCTTAAGCAGTGGTTTGTAGTTCTCCTTGAAGAGGTCCTTCACATCCCTTGTAAGTTGGATTCCTAGGTATTTTATTCTCTTTGAAGCAATTGTGAATGGGAGTTCACTCATGATTTGGCTCTCTGTTTGTCTGTTGTTTGTGTATAAGAATGCTTGTGATTTTTGTACATTGATTTTGTATCCTGAGACTTTGCTGAATTTGCTTATCAGCTTAAGGAGATTTTGGGCTGAGACAATGGGGTTTTCTAGATATACAATCATGTCGTCTGCAAACAGGGACAATTTGACTTCCACATTTCCTAATTGAATACCCTTTATTTCCTTCTCCTGCCTAATTGCCCTGGCCAGAACTTCTAACACTGTGTTGAATAGGAGTGGTGAGAGAGGGCATCCCTGTCTTGTGCCATTTTTCAAAGGGAGTGCTTCCAGTTTTTGCCCATTCAGTATGATATTGGCTGTGGGTTTGTCATAGTTAGCTCTTATTATTTTGAAATATGTCCCATCGATACCTAATTTATTGAGAGTTTTTAGCATGAAGGGTTGTTGAATTTTGTCAAAGGCCTTTTCTGCATCTATTGAGATAATCATGTAGTTTTTGTCTTTGGCTCTGTTTATATGCTGGATTAGATTTATTGATTTGCGTATATTGAACCAGCCTTGCATCCCAGGGATGAAGCCCACTTGATCATGGTGGATAAGCTTTTTGATGTGCTGTTGGATTCGTTTTGCCAGTATTTTATTGAGGATTTTTGCATCAATGTTCATCAAGGATATTGGTCTAAAATTCTCTTTTTTTGTTGTGTCTCTGCCTGGCTTTGGTATCAGAATGATCCTGCCCTCATAAAAAGAGTTAGGGAGGATTCCCTCTTTTTCTATTGATTGGAATAGTTTCAGAAGGAATGGTACCAGTTCCTCCTTGTACCTCTGGTAGAATTCGGCTGTGAATCCATCTGGTCCTGGACTCTTTTTGGTTGGTAAGCTATTGATTATTGCCACAATTTCAGAGCCTGTTATTGGTCTATTCAGAGATTCAACTTCTTCCTGGTTTAGTCTTGGGAGAGTGTATGTGTCGAGGAATTTATCCATTTCTTCTAGATTTTCTAGTTTATTTGCATAGAGGTGTTTGTAGTATTCTCTGATGGTAGTTTGTATTTCTGTGGGATCGGTGGTGTTATCCCCTTTATCATTTTTTATTGCGTCTATTTGATTCTTCTCTCTTTTTTTCTTTATTAGTTTTGCTAGCGGTCTATCAATTTTGTTGATCCTTTCAAAAAACCAGCTCCTGGATTCATTAATTTTTTGGAGGGATTTTTATGTCTCTATTTCCTTCAGTTCTGCTCTGATTTTAGTTATTTCTTGCCTTCTGCTAGCTTTTGAATGTGTTTGCTCTTGCTTTTCTAGTTCTTTTAATTGTGATGTTAGGGTGTCAATTTTGGATCTTTCCTTCTTTCTCTTGTGGGCATTTAGTGCTATAAATTTCCCTCTACACACTGCTTTGAATGCATCCCAGAAATTCTGGTATGTTGTGTCTTTGTTCTCATTGGTTTCAAAGAACATCTTTATTTCTGCCTTCATTTCCTTATGTACCCAGTAGTCATTCAGGAGCAGGTTGTTCAGTTTCCATGTAGTTGAGCGGTTTTGAGTGAGATTCTTAATCCTGAGTTCTAGTTTGATTGCACTGTGGTCTGAGAGATAATTTGTTACAATTTCTGTTCTTTTACATTTGCTAAGGAGAGCTTTACTTCCAAGTATGTGGTCAATTTTGGAATAGGTGTGGTGCAGTGCTGAAAAAAATGTATGTTCTGTTGATTTGGGGTGGAGAGTTCTGTAGATGTCTATTAGGTCCGTTTGGTGCAGAGCTGAGTTCAATTCCTGAGTATCCTTGTTGACTTTCTCTCTCGTTGATCTGTCTAATGTTGACAGTGGGGTGTTAAAGTCTCCCATTGTTAATGTGTGGGAGTCTAAGTCTCTTTGTAGGTCACTCAGGACTTGCTTTATGAATCTGGGTGCTCCTGTATTGGGTGCATATATATTTAGGATAGTTAGCTCTTCTTGTTGAATTGATCCCTTTACCATTATGTAATGGCCTTTTTGTCTCTTTTGATCTTTGTTGGTTTAAAGTCTGTTTTATCAGAGACTAGGATTGCAACCCCTCCCTTTTTTTGTTTTCCATTTGCTTGGTAGATCTTCCTCCATCCTTTGATTTTGAGCCTATGTGTGTCTCTGCACGTGAGATGGTTTTCCTGAATACAGCATACTGATGGGTCTTGACTCTTCATCCAATTTGCCAGTCTGTGTCTTTTAATTGGAGCATTTAGTCCATTTACATTTAAAGTTAATATTGTTATGTGTGAATTTGATCCTGTCATCATGATGTTAACTGGTTATTTTGCTCGTTAGTTGATGCAGTTTCTTCCTAATCTCGATGGTCTTTACATTTTGGCATGATTTTGCAGCGGCTGGTACCGGTTGTTCCTTTCCATGTTTAGTGCTTCCTTCAGGAGCTCTTTTAGGGCAGGCCTGGTGGTGACAAAATCTCTCAGCATTTGCTTGTCTGTAAAGTATTTTATTTCTCCTTCGCTTATGAAGCTTAGTTTGGCTGGATATGAAATTCTGGGTTGAAAATTCTTTTCTTTAAGAATGTTGAATATTGGCCCCCACTCTCTTCTGGCTTGTAGGATTTCTGCCGAGAGATCTGCTGTTAGTCTGATGGGCTTCCCTTTGAGGGTAACCCAACCTTTCTCTCTGGCTGCCCTTAACATTTTTTCCTTCATTTCAACTTTGGTGAATCTGACAATTATGTGTCTTGGAGTTGCTCTTCTCGAGGAGTATCTTTGTGGCATTCTCTGTATTTCCTGAATCTGAACGTTGGCCTGCCTTGCTAGATTGCGGAAGTTCTCCTGGATAATATCCTGCAGAGTGTTTTCCAACTTGGTTCCATTCTCCCCATCGCTTTCAGGTACCCCAGTCAGATGTAGATTTGGTCTTTTCACATAGTCCCATATTTCTTGGAGGCTTTGCTCATTTCTTTTTATTCTTTTTTCTCTAAACTTCCCTTCTCACTTCATTTCATTCATTTCATCTTCAATCGCTGATACCCTTTCTTCCAGTTGATCGCATCGGCTCCTGAGGCTTCTGCATTCTTCACGTAGTTCTCGAGCCTTGGTTTTCAGCTCCATCAGCTCCTTTAAGCACTTCTCTGTATTGGTTATTCTAGTTATACATTCTTCTAAATTTTTTCAAAGTTTTCAACTTCTTTGCCTTTGGTTTGAATGTCCTCCCATAGCTCAGAGTAATTTGATCGTCTGAAGCCTTCTTCTCTCAGCTCGTCAAAGTCATTCTCCATCCAGCTTTGTTCTGTTGCTGGTGAGGAACTGCGTTCCTTTGGAGGAGGAGAGGCACTCTGCTTTTTAGAGTTTCCAGTTTTTCTGTTCTGTTTTTTCCCCATTTTTGTGGTTTTATCTACTTTTGGTCTTTGATGATGGTGATGTACAGGTGGGTTTTTGGTGTGGATGTCCTGTTTGTTAGTTTTCCTTCTAACAGAGAGGACCCTCAGCTGCAGGTCTGTTGGAATACCCTGCCATGTGAGGTTTCAGTGTGCCCCTTCTGGGGGGTGCCTCCCAGTTAGGCTGCTCGGGGGTCAGGTGTCAGGGACCCACTTGAGGAGGCAGTCTGCCCGTTCTCAGATCTCCAACTGCATGCTGGGAGAACCACTGCTCTCTTCAAAGCTGTCAGACAGGGACATTTAAGTCTGCAGAGGTTACTGTTGTCTTTTTGTTTCTCTGTGCCCTGTCCCCAGAGGTGTAGCCTACAGAGGCAGGCAGGCCTCCTTGAGCTGTGGTGGGCTCCACCCAGTTGGAGCTTCCTGGCTGCTTTGTTTACCTAAGCAAGCCTGGGCAATGGCGGGCGCCCCTCCCCCAGCCTCGCTGCTGCCTTGCAGTTTGATCTCAGACTGCTGTGCTAGCAATCAGCGAGACTCCGTGGGCGTAGGACCCTCCGAGCCAGGTGCGGGACATAATCTCGTGGTGCACCGTTTTTTTAAGCCCGTCAGAAAAGCGCAGTATTCGGGTGGGAGTGACCCGATTTTCCAGGTGCCGTCACCCCTTTCTTTGGGAAAGGGAACTCCCTGACCCCTTGCGCTTCCCTAGTGAGGCAATGCCTCGCCCTGCTTCAGCTCGTGCACGGTGCGCACACCCAATGACCTGCACCCACTCTCTGGCACTCCCTAGTGAGATAAACCTGGTACCTCAGATGGAAATGCAGAAATCACCGTCTTCTGCGTCGCTCACACTGGGAGCTGTAGACCGGAGCTGTTCCTATTTGGCCATCTTGGCTCCTCCTCCTCAAAAGATTCCTTTATTCCATTTTATTCCATTGATTGATTTTCTGTATACCACAGTGAAAATATGTCAATTTATTTTTATTTTGCTGATTTTCTTATTGGTACTATTGCTTTCTTAATTACATTGCTAATTAAAATTTAATTTATTAATCAGTTTTTTGACCAAAATAAATTGTTTCTATTTATCAATTCTGATGTATTATTTTGCTGTCAGTTCTAATTTCAATTTTCCTGGGTCAGATAATAGTGTTTTTCTCTAGCAAATATTTTCTTAGCAGTGTTTTCTTAGTGTTTCTTTTAGCAAATGTGAGAAATTTTGTGAGAAAGAGAAAAAGGGAGATAGACATGGGGAAAAGACTGGCACAGTGAGAGAAAGAACTGTGAGAAAGAGAGTAAAGTGTAAGAATACAACAGCAAAAAGGTGTCAGAGAGACATCAACAAAGAGCCAGAAGATGGAATATTGGCACTATTACACTTGGTGACCTAACTCAAATTCTTCTCTTGACTTAATCGAGCTCTAGCCATAAACATAGTGAGATTTGACCTATCCTTTCCTCCGAGGTGAGTATCTTTACTCCCAATACCAAGCATGGTCTAACCCTAGCTGTCTTTGCAAGTTTCAGGCCTGCAGCCAAGCAGGTTGCTTACTTCAGCTCTGCATTTATGCATCACTAAGGTTCATCTCGTGTTAGGGTGTGATAGTATTTTTATTACTATTTTTCTTCATTTTGACTATCATTGTTTATATTTAGTGGAGAGAAATATGGAACACTGACAGTGAACCTTCCAGCCATCCCAAGTATAAGTGAACCTTCATTCATCGCATTTTAATGAATGAAGCAGCACAGATATAATGTGTGCCAGGCACTTCACTATCTCCATCTTAGTCACACGGATGTACTTCATTCTATCCACGGACATTAGAATTGTTTAATAATCTTTAACCACTTTTTGGTGTATCTTGAACTTTGTTTCTTTGATAGTCACATGTATGCTTCTTCTCTTTCAATGTTTTGAATTAAATTCATGCTCTTTCTATAAGCCTTGAGTATCAATAATAGGTATACAGCAGAGAAATGGCTCTCTTAAGAATAACTATTTCAGTCAATCTACAATTCAGTAGCATTGACTAAGTACCTGCAAAGTATTAGGCCCTCCAGTTGTTTATGAAGAGGTGAGAACCTTACAAATTATTTGGCACTTTAAATCACTTACAAATGCACGTTTTATTTGCCTGACAATGCTATTTATTTTCTCATAGAGGGATGATTTATACTGGCTTTCATTTTTACATTATTCACGAACTCTAGTTTGAGTGCCAATGTTACCCATCAGTGGCTGGAAATTGTAAATTTTACGCTTAGAGAAATATTCCTTTAATTAGAGTGATAGACTCTGGAATCGCTCCCATGTGTTGGCTTATAACCCTAGAATGTCCTTAAAAGTTATCTTGTCACTAACTATCCAAAACAAAGCCATTAGAGCCTATGCAAATCATCAAAAGATGGATGAGCTTGACCCTGAATGAACAGTGAAGTCAGCTACAAGTTGAGATGCTGACCAATAAAACATGTGACTCCCAGGACATTAGGAAAAGAAAGATACTGTGATCCAAAATCATGGCAGATCTTGCAAAGGCTTTTTTGCACATTACAGTTCTGAAGCTTAAGCCCTTTTATCTGGTCAGCACAGCTGAGTAGAGAGAGCCAGAAGTTGGAATCAAACACATGGGCTTGTATTTTGGTAGTAACTTTCATTCCTCAAATTCAACAATTATCTATTGTGTACCCACTGTGGGCTTTGCACAGTGTGAGATACTAGGGAGACAATTAAAACCAACATTCTGCTATCATGAAGACTAACTAAATAATAATAATAATCATTCTTAAGTTACAATTGTAATGAATGCTACACAGAAGAAGTAGAGCATGTGACAAATGCCTGTCATGAGAAAACCAATCAAGGTTAGGAGTAGAAGGTGAGAGAGGTTTAGGAAAGTTTACCAAAGGAAATAAAACATAAACTGACATATTAAAGACTCGTTAAAGACAAGTTGAGTCAGGACAAAATGAAAGGAATGTAGAGAGGTCTAGGCAGAAGAGCAGCAAGTAGGATAGCTCTGTCAGGAGTGGTTGGCACACCCAGAACACACAGTGTCTATGGTCCAGCTAAGCTGATTATTTCTTCCATAAAATGCCATGATAGTGACACTTTTCTAGGACCAACAGACTGGCATAAAATAGAGCTAATAATTGAGTACTGTGCAGTTCAATACCACAGAGAGTAAACTTCAAATGTTCTTATCACAAAAACTATTAAATATTTGAAGTGATGGATATCTTCATTAGCTTAATTTAATAATTCCACATTATATTAAAAATCATAACAACATTTTCTACGCCATTAATATATACAATCACAATTTATCAATATATAACAAAAATTAGTAAATATTTTGTTTAAAAAGGAATGGGCTAATTTTATATAATACCTAGTGCCTGCAAACACACATAGACACACAGGGCGAGATTGAAAAATACAATCACAGTTTTGAAATGTGAAATGGAATTTTGTGTGAATTATAGAATCTTAGAACTAGAAAGGGCCTTAAAAATAATCCTGAACAACGTTTTCTTTTTAGATTAGGTCAATAAGATTGGAGCTTTTTATTTACCCAAGATTACAAAGTTGCTTAGAGGCAAACCTAATAATAATGCATTTTCTGATATTGAATTAATTGATCTTTCTTCTATGCACTTAGTTTTGAACTGGATTTTTTGTTTATATCACATATTACTCAAGATTACATACCAAATGTTGAAGTCGAAATTTGAACCCAGGTTGGCCTGATAGCAAAATCTGTGTACTTTATACCAAATCATAGTGATAATAAATGAAAGAATCAAATTGTGAAGATGAATGTGTGAATGAACGTATGAAGCTACGCAGCAGTATTATGAATTAGACAGTGTTTTTATTGAACACAGAATAATAGTTTTGAGAACACTTTTATTATTCAGGATTTTTGCTTTTTTCTTTTCAACAGAATCCGACTCTGGCTATGTAAGACAAAAAGGAGATTTACCATAAGAACCTAATATTGGTGGGAGGCTTGGAAAATAAGGATCTAGGGATTCTAGAGCTTGGCAACAAAAGCAGTTGAGCCAGGATTTCACTGCTGCTTCCGTGTCTGACTCCGTGGCAGTAGAAAATACATTTCAGCCATCAACTCACCTCTGTGGTGCGTGCTCTAGATTCAAAGGCCTTGAAGCAAATGTATGGTCGGCTGGTTAGGCAAGGATCAAATGCTTCTTTGTCTGGGAGTGGAGAGGTAAAAAACATCCATCTTCGATTTCTGTTGTGGGAGGTAAGACAATACATCCGCTAATACTACAAACAATGGGGACTTTCTGTAAAATAAGAAGGAATATTGGATATTTGATAACTAAAATCATACATATTTCACTACACTTTTGCTGAATATTGATGACAGTAGGAAGCAAAGTAAAAAATAAGCTTAAGTCAACTAATACTTTAAATGTGCCTTAGAAGAGTGTTCATTGATACTATGAGAAAGATTAATTCCAAGCAATTAGCTTAAAGCAAAGAGAAGATAAGCCAACATCAATAACATTTGTGATTCTAAAACTATATAAAAAATGAAAGCCAAGAACTAAATACAGTTGGCCCTCCACATCCACTGGTTCAGCATCCATGGATTCAACCAACTGTGGGTGAAAACTATATTAAAAACAATAAAAATAACAATATAACAATACAAATAATATGAATAAAAATAATGTAGTATGACAACTGTTTACATATCATATACATTGTACTAGGCATTAAAAGTAATCTAGAAATGGTTTCAAGTATATGTGAAGATGTGCATAAGTTATATGCAAATACTATGCCATCTTATTTAAGGGACTTGAAAGTAACTGAATTTTGTTATATGCAGGGATCCTGGGATCAATCCCTGACAAATACAGAGGGATGACTGGATGGAAATATTATTTTATATTTGAAATATAGGAGTTTTAATATCTATCAGCTTGCCCATTACATGAGAGTATAGAAGTGTTAGTGAGGAAGTGAAGAAGGAAAACTAAAGGCTTCATAAATAATAATAATTCTTATTTTTTTAGAATTATAGCTCTATTTCAGAGGCAGTAAAAATTACTACAAAGCACCCAATTAAATTATTCATGATGTGGGGATGAACTAACAAAAAATCCATGACACTTTTCAGCAGAAACACTTCAAGAAGCACAGACACACACACAAATACACAGATACATACTCCAGACATGTATTTATAAAAAAATTATTTGCAATGGTTGGCCAGAATAAGAGCTATATTATTTGTGGGTCTCATCTTTCCCTCTTTCTATATCCTCTATTACTACCGACAGCAAGAAGCTAGTTTATTCAATTCTTTACATCTCAATGAGTTACTTTGACAAAGAGGTCTCAAGATTCCACTATACTAAAAACATTTTCATCCTCTCAAAGATTTGAATAAATGCTAAAGGTTACGGGTGTTTTCAGCATGTGAATTTCTAGAGGGAAATGTCTCAGTCAAGAATCCAGGCATTCTGTCTACTCTCTGAGCTTTCTCCATGCCTCAAGTGTTTATCAATGCTACAGAACTTCCTGAATGCCACAGTCCTTCCTCACCAAGACTGTAACGACCTAACAAATAAAGAACAAGGCATAGACCACTAAAAAAACTTATGAATAATAGTTCTTACACATGGAGGTCTTAACACGGTACAGGTGAGTGTCTTATTAAAAACTTACTCATTTAATCTTTACAAAGACCCCATAAAATACATACTATTATTCCAAGTTTCTATGAAAAAAAAGGAGACTCAGGGAAGTTAACTACATGTCTTAATACTATGCAGCTTCCAAGTGGTGAATTTAAGCATAGATCCTTTAAGGCTTAAATTAAGTCCGTTGTCTTAACCACTTCATCTTATTCCTCCAAACTGTGATGTATCTTTTTTCTATCTATCCCCATCAACCAAGCACCTTCTCATCAGATTCATTTTATGCCTCTTTTACTGGCGTTCCAACATTTGAACTTTACAGTTTGGCTGAAAAATAATCAAATAGAGTAGAGGCTTTGTATGTAGGTGTATTTGAAAAGCACTTTCATTAGCTACAGAGACTTTAGCCCTGTGTCCTGGAATTAGGCAGGGTTAGGAGGTGGCCACCTGGAATTAAAAAATAAAGTTTACCAAACAGTAGTAACTGAAAGTGTTAGGTTGTTTGAGATCCCTTTCAGAGTCCCCATTCTTTGAATCATGTCCTGATTATTTTCTCTGATGTGTACATGCTCACCTGTAGGTTAGCCATGACTCTCTCAGCCCCACCCTCATCAGCAGCTATTTATTAAATACTTCAGTGTTACTCATGATGCATGTAAATGCTATGTAATTTTAAATATTTGTGATTAGGTATTCCTTGTAGAATCGAATAAGAGCTATGAAAGCCACTCTCCTTCTATGATCAAATTAACCTAGTCACATATAAATACTGGAAATCTAACTTTAGTTTCCAGGGGTGAAGATTCTGGCATTGTGGAATGAAAAGATCAAAGTATCATCTCTCCAAAAAATATAAAAGTAGGAAACATGTCAAAAATAAGCATTTCAGGTCTCTGGAAATCAAGCAAACACAAACAACTAATGGAGAAGCATTTATTCATAAGAAACCCCACTGGAAGCCTAATAAGGGCAGTGGGATCTGCAGCCTTCTTTCCTGGGAATGCTTTCCTCCTCCTTGCCTATTTCAGGTGAAGTGACAACTTAACTCAAAACCAGTAGACATGTTGCCAGAGTGGGCTGACTTTTTGGAACAGGAAATATAAAACCATATTCCTTTTATTAGTTAAAGTAGCAATTTTTGGAGGAAATGAATAGGGAAGCTTGTGCCTCTGTTAGCTTACGGTTACAGAGCTGTGAATAACCCATAGATTGAGTGGAGAGAACCTAGAAATGAGAGACATAGAAGGATCTGATAAGCTCTTAATACTTCCCTGAGTGACTGGATAAATAAACATATGTGCAAGGAAGGCCAACGTGGGCCCAGCAGAAAGGAAAAGTCAGGGTGTATTTGAGAACTGGCTGAATTTTGAATGTATGCCTCAGAGAAAGCCTTTCAGCAAAAGGCAAAACTTTATGGAATCAATATGTTCAAGCACTACTGCCCAAATCGTTGACTGATCACAGAGCCATAAAGACACAGAGTGACCCCTAGGGCAGCTAGGTTAAAAAATAAAAATGAGAACAAGATAAGATGAACAAACACATCTGTGGCCATACATCATGAGAACGGAAATCCAGGCAAGTCATCAAAAAAACAAACATATAAACAACAGCAGCAAAAGCATACACATCTTAAGGGGCAAATGAGAGTTGAGTTGCTATATTATCTGAAATGTCTGGTTTTGATAACCAGTTTATATAGGAAACTCAGACAACTCAATAGCAAAAACAAAAACAAAAAATTCAATTAAAAACAAGGCAAACATCTGAATAGACTTTTCTCAAAGAATATATGCAAATGACCAACAGAAACATGAAAAAGGCTCAACATCACTAACATCGGGGAGTGAAAATCAAATCTATTCTAATATATATTTGAATTGTATGCAATGAGATACCATCTCACTCCAGTTAAAATGAGTTTTATCAAAAAGATAAAAAATACTGTATATTGGTGAAGATGCAGAGAAAAAATGCTCATACACTGTGTGGGGGAATGTAAATTAGTACACTATGAAAAAACAGTATGGAATTTACTCAAAAATTAAATATAGAACTACTGCTGGTTAATTATTTAAAAGAAAATCAGTATACGAAAGAGATATTTACACACCCATGTTTATGACAGCACAGTTTACAATAGGCAAACTATGGAAATCACCCAGAGTGTTCACCAATGGATGAATGAATAAATAAAATGTAGTACGTGTGCACAGTGGAATATTTTTTAGTCATTAAAGAGAACAAAGGGATGTCATTTGTAAAATCATGGATGAAACTGGAGGCCAGGCGCAGTGGCTCAAGCCTGTAATCCCAGCACTTTGGGAAGCCGAGGAGGGCGGATCACAAGGTCAGGAGATCGAGGCCATCCTGGCTAACATGGTGAAATCCCGTCTCTACTAAAAATACAAAAAAATTAGCCGGGCGTGGTGGCGGGTGCCTGTGGTCCCAGCTACTCGGGAGGCTGAGGCAGGAGAATGACGTGAACCCAGGAGGCAGAGGTTGTAGTCAGCCCAGATCGCGCCACTGCACTGGAGCCTGGGTGACAGAGCGAGACTCCGTCTCAGAAAGAAAGGAAGTAAGGAAGAAGGAAAGAAAGAAGGAAAGAAGGAAAGAAGGAAGGAAGGAAAGAAGGAAAGAAGGAAGGAAGGAAGGAAACTGGAGGAACATTATGTTAAATGAAATAAGCCAGGCACAGAAAGACAAATAGTGCATGTTCTCACTCACAAGTGGAAGTTAATAGAAAATTAATCTCATGGAGATAGAGAGTAGAATAATGGTTACCAGAGGCCGGAAAGGGTAGTGCAGAGTGCCCGGAGGCGGGGGGAGGATAGAGAGGGGTTAGTTAATGAGTAAAAAATATACGTTTAGATAGGAGGAATAAAATCTAGTGTTCGGTAGCACACCAGAGTGACTATGATCGGCAATAATTTATTGTATATTTCAAAAGAATGAAAAGAACAGAATTGGAATGTTACTAACACAAAGAAATGATAAATGTTTAAGAGGATGGGTATCCCAATTACCCAGATTTGATTATTGCACATTGTATACTTATACAAAAATATTACATGTACCTCATAAATATGTCCAACTATTATGTATCCATAAAAATTAAAATAATAAAATGTATGGTTTTGAACAAAAAGTTATACACAAGAAGAAAAAGGAAAATGTAACCAATACTTGGGGACTAAAGTCAATAAAAATAGACCTAGAGGTTAGATCAGCAAAGTATAATTGTATTCAAATAATTAAGGAAAACGAATTTAAAGTAAATAAAGTCCAACTTAAATAATTAAAGGAAAATATTATGATGACAACTCAACAAATAGGGAATCAATAGAAAAGTAGAAATACGTGTGTGTGCATGTATGTGTATGAATGAAAGCTCTAGAATTGAAAAGAATAATAACTGAATAACCAAAATACAAATTTGAATACATGGGTACATGGAATTATTTAAACAGTAGATGATATGATTTGGCTGTGTCCCTCTCCAGATCTCATCTTGAATTGTAGCTCTTATAATCCCCACGTATCCTGGGGGGACCCAGCCTGAGGTAATTGAATCATGGGGGTGGGTTTTTCCCATGCTGTTTTTGTGATAGTGAATAAGTCTTTTGAGAGCTGACGGTTGTCTTTTTTTTTGTTTTTTTTGGGGTGTTGGTTTGTTTTGAGACGAAGTCTTGCTGTCTCCAGGCTGGAGTGAAGTGGTGCGATCTCGGCTCACTGCAACCTCCGCCTCCTGGGTTCAAGCCTTTCTCCTGCCTCAGCCTCCCTAGTAGCTGGGACTACAGGCACGCACCACCAAGCCAGCTAATTTTTTTGTATTTTTAGTAGAGACGGGGTTTCACCATGTTGCCAGGATGGTCTCCATCTCTTGACCTCGTGATCCTTCCGCCTCAGCCTCCCAAAGTGCTGGGATTACAGGCGTGAGCCACCGTACCCAGTCGAGAGCTGATGGTTTTATAAAGGGAAGTTCCCCTGCACACACTCTCCTGCCTGCCACCATGTAAGATGTGACTTTGCACCTCCTTCACCTTTTGCCATGATTGTGAGGTCTCTCCAGCCATGTGGAATTGTGAGTCCATTAAACCTCTTTTTCTTTATAAATCACCCAGTCTCAGGTATGTCTTTATTAGCAGCATGAGAACGAACTAATATAGTAAATTGGTACCGGGTAGTGCAGTGTCACTGTAAAGATACTCGAAAATGTGGAAGTGACTTTGGAACTGGGGAACAGGCAGAGGTTGGAATAGTTTGGAGGGCTCAGAAGACAGGAAGATATGGGAAAGTTTGGAACTCCCTGGAGACTTGGACTTGTTAAATGGCTTTGACCAAAATACTGATAGTGATATGGACAATAAGGTCCAGGCTGAGGTGTTCTCAAATGGAGGTAAGGAACTTGTGTAGAAATGGAATAAAGCTCTTTTGCTATGCAAAGAGACTGGTGGCATTTTGCCCCTGCCCTTGAGATCTGTGGAACTTTTTTTTTTTTGAGATGGAGTTTAACTCTTGTTGCCCAGGCTGGAGTGCAATAGCATGATCTTGGCTAACCACAACCTCTGCCTCCTGGGTTCAAGTTATTGTCCTGCCTCAGCCTCCCTAGTAGCTGGAATTACAGGCATGCGCTACCACGCCCAGCTAATTTTGTATTTTTAGTAGAGATGGGGTTTCTCCATGTGGGTCAGGCTGGTCTAGAACTCCCGACCTCAGGTGATCCACCCTTCTCTGCCTCCCAAAGTGCTAGGATTACAGGTGTGAGCCACCATGCCCGGCCTGGAACTTTTAATATGAGAGAGATAATTTAGGATATTTGGCAGAAGAAATTTCTAAGCAGCAAAGTGTTTAAGAGGAAGCAAAGCATAAAAGTTTGGAAAATTTGCAGCCTGACAATGCAATAGAAAAGAAAACCCCGTTTTCTGGGGAGAAATTCAAGCTGCCTGCAGAAATTTGCATAACTAATGAGGAGCTAAATGCTACTCAACAAGAAAATGCAGAAAATGTTTCCAGGGAATGTCAGAAGTCTTCATAACAGCCCGTCTCATCACAGGCCAGGAGAACTAGGAGAAAAAAAATGGTTTTGTGGACTGGGCTGTGCAGCCTTGGGACTTGGTGCCCTGCATCTCAGCCACTCCAGCTGTGGCTAAAAGTGGCCAATGAACACCTCAGGCCATTGCTTCAGAAGGTGCAAGACCCAAGCCATGATAGCTTCCACGTGGTGTTGAGCCTTCAGGGGCATAGAAGTCAAGAACTGAGATTTGGGA
Source organism: Homo sapiens (assembly GCF_000001405.40). Classification (NCBI taxonomy): domain Eukaryota; kingdom Metazoa; phylum Chordata; class Mammalia; order Primates; family Hominidae; genus Homo; species Homo sapiens. The sequence continues at coordinate 117,145,989 of NC_000002.12, read as the reverse complement.
ACTTCCACCTAGATTTCAGAGGATGTATGGAACCACCTGGATGTCCAGACAGAAGTGTGCTGCAAGTGCAGAGCCCTCATGGAGAACCTCTGTTAGGGCAGTGTGGATGGGAAATGTGGGGTGGGAGCCCCTATATAGAGTCCCCTCTGTGGCACTGCATAGTGGAACTGTGAGAAGAAGGACACATCCTCCAGACCCCAGAATGGTAGATCCACCAATAGCTTGCACTGTGCACCTGAAAAAGCTGTAGACACTCAATACCAGCCCATGAAAGCAGCCAGGAGGGGGGCAGTACCCTGCAAAGCCACAGGGTTGGAGCTTCCCAAGACCGTGGGAAACTACCTCTTGCATCAATGTGACCTGGATGTGAGACATGGAGTCAAAGGAGATCATTTTGGAGCTTTAAGATTTGACTGCCCTGCTGGATTTTGGACTTGCATGTGGCTTGTAGCTCCTTTATTTTTGCCACTTCCACCCATTTGGAATAGTTGTATTTACCTAATGCCTGTACCCTCATTGTATCTAGAAAGTAACTAACTTGCTTTTGATTTTACAGGCTCATGGGCAGAAGAGACTTGCCTTGTCTCAGGTGAGATTTTGGACTTGGACTTTTGGGTTAATGCTGCAATGAATTAAGACTTTGAGGGACTGTTGGGAAGGCATGAGTGGTTTTAAAATGTGAGGACATGAGATTTGGGAGGAGCCAGGGGCTAAATGATATAGTTTGTTTGTGTCCCCACCCAAATATCATCTTGAATTATAGCTCCCTTAATCCCCACATGTTGTGGGAAGGACCTAGTGGGATGTAATTGAATTATGGGGATGGGTTTTTCCTGTGCTGTTCTCATGATAGTGATTAAATCTCATGAAATCTGATGGTTTTATAAGGGGCAGTTCCCCTGAACACATTCTCTCTTGCCTGACACCAGGCAAGACATGCCTCTGCTCCTCCTTTACCTTCTGCCATGATTGTGAGGCCTCCCCAGCCATGTGGAATTGTGAGTCCATTAAACCTCTTTCCTTATAAATTACCCAATCTCAGGTATGTCTTTATTAGCAGTGTGACTAATGCAGTAGAATAAAGATTTAATTGACTTGAATATAAATAATTTAATGTGAATAACAGACAGAAAACTTGAATAAAAATGAACAGAACTACAGCAACCTGTGCTACCATATGAAGCATATAAATACTCACATAATGGAAATTCTAGAAGAAAAGAATAGGAAGTACTACAAAAAATACTTGAATAAACAATGACCAAGAATTCTCAGGTTTATGAAAAACTTTATAGATCAAGGAAGCTTAATAAACAGAGTCAGATAAACACAAAAACGTTTACTTCTAGACACTTTCTAGCCAAACTTATTAAAGCTAAAGATGAGTAAATATTGAATGTAACGAGAAAAATGACATCACAAACATGGGAAATGGTAATAAAATTAATTCTTGACTTCTTTTCAGAAATAAATTGAGGAGTAGAAAGAAGCCCAGTAACATATTAGAAAGGCTTAATGTTTTGTTAAAACATTAATTAAATTAAAACATTAATTAATAATTAATTAAAACATTGTTTTGTTAAAAAACAAAAACAGATAAAAACACATTAACTGAGAATTCTATATACAACCAAAGTATTATTCAAAGATGAAAGCAATATGAACCAAAAAAAATGAGAACATTCGTTGCTACACACATGCTCTACCATATTAAAGGAATGCTTTTAGTCTGCAAAGAAATGACACCAAACAGTAACTTAAATCTGTGAGAAGAAATACAGATCATGAGAAATGGCAAGTATATGTATTAATACAAAACAGTACAAATGTATTTTTATTTCTCTTTTGAATTTTTTTTTTTTTTTTTTTGAGATGGAGTCTCGCACCGTCTCCTGGGCTGGAGTGCCGTGGCGCAATCTTGGCTCACTGCAACCTCCGCCTCCCAGGTTCAAGCGATTCTCCTGCCTCAGCCTCCTGAATAGCTAGGATTACAGACGACCGCCACCACATCCGGTTAATTTTTTGTATTTTTAGTAGAGACGAGTTTTCACTATGTTGGCCAGGCTTGTCTCAAACTCCTGACCTCTTGATCCGCCTGCCTCGGCCTCCCAAAGTGCTGGGATTAAAGGCATGAGTCACTGCACCAGCTGATTTTTTTTTTTTAATTTGAGATTTTATGAAAAATAAATATCCCATTCAGTTGCTGGGTTTATAACATATATAGATGTTATACTATATATACTATTATATGTCAATAACAGCACAAAAGAAGAGGGAGAAAATGGATCTTCATTAGAACAACATTACCATATATTATTGGAATTAGATAGTTATTAACCTGAAGTAGATAGTGATGAATTTAGGTCTATGTTATAACCCCTAGTGCAACACCTAAGATAATAACTCAAAAATATAATTAAAAAATCAAGAGTGTAATTAAAAGTGTATATCAAATATATTTGTTTAACACAAAAGCAGGCGGTAAAGGAAATCTAGTGGAACAAAAAAAATGACACATTTAAATAAATTCAACCTTATCAATAATGACATTATCTGTGAACCAAACTAAAATGAAAACCCAACATATGAAAATTTAGAGGTAATGAGAGTTTAAAGAAAAATTTATGGCTTTAAGCATTTTTATTTGAAAGGACAAAATACCTAAAATTAACAGGTGAAATCCTGAGCTTTTACTTCATGAAGCTCGAAAAAACAATAGCAAGTCAAACCCAAAGTGAAAGAAAGAAATAAACAATAAAGATCATAAGACAAAAAGGGTAAAGCAATGAAATCAAAATTTTGTTCTTTGAAAGGTCAAAAAAAAGTGTTTTCTTTAGTTACACGGGCAAAGAAAGAAAGAGAAGACGCAATTACCAAAATCAAGAAGGATAAAGGGGATATCACTACAGAGCTTACAGAGATTAAAAGAATTTAATGTAATATATTGGGCAACTTTATGCCACAAATTAGAAAACTTAGCTGAAATAGGAAAATTCTTAGAAAGATTACCAACACTGACTCAAAAAAAAAAAATTCAGAAAATTTGAATAGACCCATAAGAGGTACAGACATTGCAATTAAAATTAAAAAATTTTGTTTAGATAGTGTATACATTTAAAATTCATGATGCTTGCTATCAAATATTAATTGTGTTATAGAAATGTATCAATTTACATATCCATAAGTATTTTAAACATATACTATTCCCTGGAATTGAACAAAATTCCTAATTTGATAAGTGAAAAATGGTATCTTACTACTGATTATTCACAAACTTTTATTATGAGAATGTTCCTAAGTGGTTATTTTCAAGGACTATTGATAAGCTGGCATATTCTTTTTTTCTAAATTGATGAAACTATTTGCAATCTAGGGCAATTGTTTAACTGTTTTTGTAACATGGTTATATTATAAAATATTATCATAGGTATTTTTTATAACCCAGGTAAGTTTCTCTTATAGTCATGGTCTAGTGTGGTCTGTAAAAATATAATTTGCCCTCAGTGAATATTAGCATCCCATTTACTCTCCATGTATAAGTTTATATAATGATTGACCCTGGGGCAGGGGCATAGTTCTTCATTTAGTTCTTCTCTCTTTGAAATCAAAATTATTTCCTCTTTGTGTTTTCCAGGTTTCTTTACATTCCTCCTTTCTAGGATCCAAAAGCTAGATCAACGTTTTTGGCTTTCAGTTGTATAAAGAAAGATCTTGCTTACTTTGAAATTTGGGGCACAATAATTTATTTATTTTACTCAATCAGAGGAGGATGAATTATTTTCTCTTTTCAACACCATGTTGTTTGCACCTTCTTCATGATATGGTAGACAGATTCCAAAGCTGGCCCCTTAATTCCTGCTTCCTGGTATTAATGGCCTGTATAATCCCCTTCCCTTGAGTAGCTGCTTATGATCAATAGAATACAGCACATTGAGAATGCATCACTTCAACAGTTAGGTTAGAAAAGACTACAACCTCCATTTTGCTGGCAGGCTCACTCTCTCTTGCCTTCTGGTTTGCACACTTTGATGAAGCCAGTTGCCTTGTTGGGGATGGCTTCTGACCAACTACCAGTCAAAAGTTAAAGCCCTAACTCTCACCGCTGACAGGAAACTAAAATCCTGCCATTTGCAAGGTGAGCTTGGAAGTGGATACTTTCCTAGACAAGCCTTCAAATGAAATTGTCCATCCTGTGCCAATACCTTAATTGCAGCCTAATAAGAAACCAGGATGCAGAGTTCCCAGCTTAGCTTTACCTGGATTTCTGACCTATGGAAACTCTGAAATAATAAACAGATGTTATTTTAATCTAGTAAGATTTGGGGTAAATTGTTACATAACAAGAGATAGCAAAAACAGAACTTTCCTTTTATCATCAACTTTTCTCTTCCAGGCCAGGCAGAGTTGGCTTGCACCTGTAATCCCAGCACTTTGAGAGACCTAGGCGGGTAGATTACTTGAGCTCAGGAGTTTGTAACCAGTCTGGGCAACATGCTGAAACCCTGTCCCTACAAAAAAAAAAAATGCCAAAAAATTAGCCAGGCATGCTGGCACATGCTTGTGGTCCCAGCTCCCTGAGAAAGTGAGGAGAGAGGATCACTTGAGCCCAGGAGGACAAGGCTGCAGTGAGCCATGATCACACCACTGCACTCCAGCTTGGGTGATGGAAAGAGACCCTGTCTCAGAAAAAAAAAGAAATTCTTGTCCAATATCCCTTAGGGTTTGTCCCTCCAGTGCATCCTAAAGGATCTCTCTCTTTCCTTCACTTCACCTTTCCTCCTGCTATAGTTCTGTTTATGTTGAATGTCTACTTTTAAAATAGATACTAAAGACAAATTTCCAAGCAACAGAAAATAAATGCAGGTAGAGACTCTTTGAATTAAACCATGATGTCTGATTTTCCTGCATATTTCTACCATTTCCAGCTTGTCCAGAGAGCAACTAAGTTATATTGGATCACAATTTGCATGGTATATTGACGGACTTAATAACTTACATCTATTGCTTCCAAAGAGATTGTTTTCTTTTGTCTTAATTAAAAAAATTTATCCATATTAGTAACTTTCTCAAGTGTACATTTTCTCATTATTTTTCCTTCTTTATGAATTTTAATTTTATAATATTTTTCTGTCTTTACTTTTATTTATAATACCCAAACCAAAACTAATGTGATTGTCTAATACAAAAAAAACTGGGGGGAGGGATGCGTCTCAGTAATGAAAAATGAGTCACACATCTTGAAGTAGATAAGTATTAGTAAATTACCTTTATTCCCTTCCACCCCTTTCTACCATTTCTCTGAATATAAAATAAAGACAGATCCATACTCACAGGCCAAGCTTGATATTGTCCTGTGTTTCTCTGAGATTAAAGAGATGGGCCCTTCTTATCATGTAACTATAATCTATTTTATCTGGAGTAAATCGATAAAAGGAATTAAAATATTGTCAATGCTATAATCTAAACTTCCAATGCTTCTTTACAATACAAGGGTCTAAAACATTGTTTGTTATAATCAGAGTGGTAAAGAGTATATATATATATATATATATTTTTATATATATATATTTATATATTTATATATATATATATATATTTTAGAGATACAGTCTTACTCTGTCACCCAAGCTGAAATGCAGAGGCATAATTATGGCTCACTGCAGCCTTGACCTTCTGGAATCAAGCAATCCTCCTCTCTCAGTCTCCCCAGTAGCTGGGACTACAGGCGTGCACCACCACACCTGCCTATTATTCTTAAATTTTTAGTAAAGGTGAGGTCTCATAGTATTGACCAGGCTGGTCTTGAACTCCTGGCCTGAAGCAATCTTTCTGCCGCGGCCTCCCAAAGTACTGAGATTACAGGTGCAAGCCACTGCACCTGGCCTGAAGGATAGTTTTTTTTATTTTAAAATCTGTCACTAACCAATGCTTTTACGAATACAGTAAAATAAATTACTAGAAAAATGAAGTATTAAAAAAGATCAAGAAAGTAAGATCAATGTTAATTTTCACTCTAAGAATCACTAGATTTTATCAAATAGCTATGAAAGTTTCTAAACACTCTCCATTTCCATACTTAACACAGTCTGGAAGCAAAAGTTTCAGAGGATGATACAAGGTCACAGACTACATTTTAAGTAGATTTGGTCTAAAAGACCACTTCTAATTTTGAGGACACAGACTTTTAGTACAGCTCTTTAAGAATAGTTATTTGAAGTGTTACAGCTGTTTTAGAATTGTCTAGCAGTCTTTCCGGGTTTTGTCAGAAAGGCCCTAAAAATAAAATTTTTTAAAGAAAGAAAAAATAATTGATAATAATAATAAAATAATGGTTATTCGAACTCCGTTGGTCATCAAGGCTTGTGTTGCATATGGGTAGAGATGGCCACATGATGTAATATCACAAGCAGCAGGAGTATTGTCCTTGGCTCATTCTAAAACTCCCTAACTTGAACGATGTCAGGAGTTTCCTCCTTTGTTACTTCAAGAATTTTCTCCTCTCAAAAGGTGAAAATGTAAGAGAGATTTGAGCGTGCTTAAAAGATCTGAAAAAAAATCTTACCTGGAAGGAAGTAGAGTTAGCAGGACTGAGCTGAGTAGCAATGTGATGATTTAGGCAGGTGGGGCAAAAGATGGACAGTAAAGTAATTATACCCCAGGAACCAGAGTTAAAAAAATTATAAAGAAGTCTCCTTGGGGTGGTGATAATTTCTACATTCCCCTGACCTGGCACTGGGTTTCTTCAGCAGACTTTATTATACCTGCCTCTAGCCTTACAGGAGGCTTATCAAGGTGATAAGATGCTGTTGCTTTATGAGTGAACTCTGATGCCCTATAACTTAGTTTAACAATAATCGCTATCATCTACTGAATTTGTGTAATAATGGCTTTCTTCCCAACCTGCAAATACACACTTTTAATTGCTTGATAACATCTTAAAAACAAAAAAAATGGAATTTTGGAAGGCTTACAAATCAAATGGAAATGAGAAATTTCTGCGTAGACATGATTTATTTTTCAGCATTCCCTTATGTGCTTTTTAGATATAATCAGTTCCTAACACATTTCTGAACAGTGTCTTTGTTGTATATAAACTCCCATTTAATGAGAGAAATGGAGAGTTAATGGTTTTCTTTATCTATTCTAGAACTGGATTATATTGCAAAAATAAATGTAGGTGTATATATGCAAAAATCTGTAAATCACACAGAAACAAGTACTTGCTGAAGTACGCGAAAGCTATTATGGTTGAGTTTTCCTCAGAAGCCTAGTGCTTAGTCTATAAAAACTTATTTGTAAACTTAATGACAGTCTAGTTCTCCCTGGTAGTTTTGTGCAATACTTTCTTAAGGTTCCTTCAAGTTATGTTCTGTGATTCAATAAACAAACACTTAAGTGCAATGGGGAAAAAAAAAAGCAAGAGTGACCTTGCCTTAATATGGGATCTGTGATGCCACAGCCCAAACAACACAGAAATTTAGTTTAGGCTTTAGAAGTTTAAACTACAAAAATAATAATAATAATAATAATAATAATAATAATAATAATAATACACGCATTGATGGAATTAAGCTAATATTTAATTTTGAAAACATGGTAACTGTCTTTTTAATTTTATTTTAAAAAATATTCCTGTAGGGGCTGGAGGCAGTGGCTCACGCCTGTAATCCCAGCACCTTGGGAGGCCGAGGCGGGCGGATCACGGGGTCAGGAGATTGAGACCATCCTGGCTAACACGGTGAAACCCCGCCTCTACTAAAAAACAAAAAAATTAGCCAGGTATGGTGGCGGGCGCCTGTAGTCCCAGCTACTTGGGAGGCTGAGGCAGGAGAATGGCGTGAACCCGGGAGGCTGAGCTTGCAGTGAGCCGAGACAGCGCCACTGCACTCCAGCCTGGGCGACAGAGCGAGACTCCATCTGAAAAAAAAAAAAAATTCCTTTAATATCTATTATGAGTAAAACCTGTTGATAGAATGTATATTATATTGAGTCTATGCTGCCTACTCCCTTGTTGGAATCCTACCTAAGGATTAAAAAGTAAGAGGGAAGAAATGTGCTTGTATTTAGCATAATTTAGCATAAAGCATATAAAATAGATGTCCTTAAAGTAAAACCTAACACAGTTCGAATGCACACGAGGTACTTAGTAAAACATATTGAATAAATGTCTTAGTATGTTCTGGCTGCTATAACATAATACCATAATTGGTGGCTTATTAATAATAGAAATTTGTGTCTCACAATCTGTAGGCTGAGGATTCCAAGATCAAGGCATCAGCAAATTTGGTGTCTGGTGAAGGCAACTTCTTGGTTCATAGATGGTGCTTTCACTATGTGTCCTCAAATATTGAAAGGAGCCAAGAAGGTCTCTAGTGGCTTCTTTTGTAAGGAGAGTCATGAGTCATCCCATTCATGACAGCTCCAACCTCATCAATTAGTCACCTCCCAAAGGTTGTACCTCTGAATACCATCAAATTGATGGTTAGGATTGAGACACATAACTTTGAAGAGGATAGAAATAACCATCATTCTCAGCAAACTATCGCAAGGACAAAAAAAAAAAAGCACATGTTCTCACTCATAGGTGGAAATTGAACAATGAGAACACACGGACACAGGAAGGGGAACATCACACACTGGGGCCTGTTGTGGGGTGGGGGGAGGGGGGAGGGGGGAGGGATAGCATTAGGAGATATACCTAATGTTAAATGACGAGTTAATGGGTGCAGCACACCAACATGGCACATGTATACATATGTAACAAACCTGCACATTGTGCACATGTACCCTAAAACTTAAAGTATAATTAAAAAAACAAAAAAAAAAAGAAATGTTCAGACATTCAGACCATGACATTCTACCTCCAATCCCACCAAATTCATGTCCTTCTTGCATGCAAACTACATTTATTCCATCTCAATGGTGCCAACAGTGCTAATTCACTCTTGCATACACTCAAAAGTCTGAAGTCCAAAGTCTTATTTAAATATCATCTTAGCCGGGCGCAGTGGCTCATGCTTGTAATCCCAGCACTTTGGGAGGCCAAGGTGGGTGGATCATGAGGTGAGGAGTTTGAGACCAGCCTGACCAACATGATGAAACCCTGTCTCTACTAAAAATACGAAAACTAGCCAGGGGTGGTGGCACATGCCTGTAATCCCAGCTACTCAGGAGGCTGAGGCAGAAGAACTGCTTGAACCTGGGAGGCAGAGGTTTCAGTGAGCCAAGATCTCACCACTGCACTCCAGCCTGGGTGACAGAGTGAGACTCCGTCACATAAATAAATAAATAAATAAATAAATAAATAAATAAATATCATTAATCAGGTATAAATTAGTGCCACGGCTCAGAAATCAATGCTGAAAATATGGGGTTTTGACATGGTGACTAGTAGAAGTCTCAAGGTCTCTCTGACCTTCCCCTACATCCACACCATCTCTCTCAAAGAGGCTGAATTCCCTTTATCTGCCTAAGATACAAAACCACCAAAAAGAAAAATTGTTATTTCTTTACCTCACTGTTATTTCATTATATATTGCAGTAAAAAAGATCAACATGTGACCACACCTAAGCAGACATTTTTAGGAGTTACAATAACTATCTCTGAGGACTAAACTCTGATTTTTTAATCTTGCCCATATTCCTAAGGGGTCTGGGGACCTACAAATCATAAATTCTCATCAGATGAGTTTTATTTAACCCTATATCATGATATACTTTCCAACCTGACTCTGGCATAACATTATGAGACAAAAAAGAAAATAAAAATATTTTACCCCAAAATATGTTTATTTGCCATATTTTGAAATGGCCCTGCAAAGCTGTTCTTTGTGGGGGGAAAATTTACATCTGTAAAGGATGTCCACTAACATAACTAGATCTTTTTCTTCCAGACCCTCCCAATCCTAAACAGGTAAGATCTGAATAGGAAACATTTGTCACCTATCTTCTGTAAGGGCAGCCACTATAAGACTTCAAAAGAACTGTGGTCTCTACAATCTTTACCTTAACCTGAACATTCCCGTTCTATTGATATCAGGTCTTTAGACAAAATCAACCAATTGTCAACCAGAAAATACTTAAATTCACCTGTAGCCTGAAAGCCCCTCCAGTTTGAGTTGTTCTGCTTTTCTAAATCAATGTGTTTCTTAAATGTATTTGATGGATGTATTTCTTTTTTTTTTTTTTTTTTTATTTTATTTTTTTTTTTTTTTGAGACGGAGTCTCGCTCTGTCGCCCAGGCCGGACTGCGGACTGCAGTGGCGCAATCTCGGCTCACTGCAAGCTCCGCTTCCCGGGTTCACGCCATTCTCCTGCCTCAGCCTCCTGAGTAGCTGGGACTACAGGCGCCCGCCACCGCGCCCGGCTAATTTTTTGTATTTTTAGTAGAGACGGGGTTTCACCTTGTTAGCCAGGATGGTCTCGATCTCTTGACCTCATGATCCACCCGCCTCGGCCTCCCAAAGTGCTGGGATTACAGGCGTGAGCCACCGCGCCCGGCCGGATGTATTTCTTAATCAATGTATTTCTTTAATGTATTTGATTGATGTCTCATGGTCTCTAAAATGTATAAAACTAACCTGTGCCCTGACCACCTTGGGCACATGTTCTCAGGACTTCCTGAGGGCTGTATCACAGGCCATGGTCACTCATATTTGGCTCAGAATAAATCTCTTCACATATTTTAGAGTTCAACTCTTTTCATAGACATCTCCAAGGAGCATTTAAATTCCAAAGAAACTACTAACAGGTTAATCTCTGTTCCAAGATCCAATCATTCTCCCCAGCAATCATTTATTGCCCCTCAATAGAATTTCTCTTTTTCCCAATCCCATAACCTGTGTTAGCAGAATCCAACCCGCATTATTTCTGTAACCTTGAAATGGTGTACACGCTTCTGTAACTCATTGGTGTCACGTGTGTCCACGTGAAGAGACCACCAAACAGGCTTTGTGTAAGCAATAAAGCTTTTTAATCACCTGGGTGCAGGCAGGCTGAGTCTGAAAAGAGAGTCAGCAGAGGAAGGTAAGGGTAGGGCAGTTTTATAGGATTTGGGGAGGTAGTGGAAAATTACAGTCAAAGGGGGTTGTTCTCTTGTGGGCAGGGGCAGGGGTCACAAGGGGTGCTCAGTGGGGGAGCTTCTGAGCCAGGAGAAGGAATTTCACAAGGTAATGTCATCAGTTAAGGCAGGAACTGATTTTCACTTCTTTTGCGATTTTTCAGTTGCTTCAGGCCACCTGGATGTGTACCTGCAGGCTTAGGCTCAGAGGCCTGACATTACTGTCTTCTTGTATTAATAAGAAAAACAAAACAAGACAGTGGCGAAGTGTTGGGGTGGCAAAAATTTTGGGGGGTGGTATGGAGAGATAATGGGTGATGTTTTTCAGGGCTGCTTCGAGCAGGATTGGGGTGGCATGGAAACCTCGAGTGGGAGAGGTTAAGCTGAAGGGAAGGAAGATTTTGTGGTAAGGGGCAATATTGTGGGGATGTCAGAAGAAGCATTTGTCATATAGAATGATTGGTGATGGCCTGGATGTGGTTTTGTATGAATTGAGAAACTAAATGGAAGACACAAGGTCTGAATAAGAGAAGGAGAAAAACAGGTGTTAAAGGACTAAGAATTGGGAGGACCCAGGGCATCTAATTAGAGAGTGCCCAAAGGGGTTCAGCATGATTATTTGCTTGGTTGGCAAGTTTTTGGGGTCTATTCTTGAGGGTCTTTTTTTTTATGTCATCATATACTAGGCCAGATTGATTTAGATAAAAACACCACTCTTCATTTAAAAATATACAGAGTCCTCCTTTTTCAGCAGTGAGTAAGTTGAGGCCTATTCCTGTCTTCTTATATTAATAAGAAAAATAAAATAAAATAGTGGTGAAGTGTTGGTGTCATGAGGGGAATGGGAAGCTGTTTGGTCCTACTTGCAAATTGAATTTTGGGAGTAAGTAAAACTAGTGTGCATGTGCCTGTCCAATTAGCAGGTAGACACCTGTAGGTGGAGGAGCCAGAGGAAGAAGAGACGTTTTATAAGGCAAGACTGTAAATGTAAAGTGAAAAGATGAGAAGGAGATAAACTGGCCATGAGGGACAGAAGTAGGAATACTGGCTGCTTTTTAGCTGTCTTATCAGCATAATTGTTGCCTTGAGCAATGGAGTCTGAGGCCCCTTGATGGCCTTTGCAATGAATGACTCCAGCTTTTTTGGAAGTAAAGCGGCTTTAAGAAGAGTTTTTATTAAGGAGGCGTTAATGATGGAGGACACTTGCGCAGTGAGGAAATGTTTTTCTGCCCATATAACAGCATGAAGGTGCAGGATATGGAAGGCATATTTAGAGTCAGTAGGAATGTTGACATATAGTCCCTTTGCAGGAGTGAGGGCTTGAGTTACACCAATGAGTTCGGCTTGCTGAGAGGTAGTGAAGTGGGGCAGAGTGGTACCATTAAGGATAGATGTGGAAGATACTATAGCATAGCCTGCCTTTGCTGGTGAGTGACAATTAGGCCTGGTGGAACTGCCATCAATAAACCAAATGTGATCAGGGTGAGGAACAGGAAAGAAGGAAATATAGGGAAACTGAGTGAATGTCAGGTGGATCAGAGAGATACAGTCATGGGGGTCAGGTGTGGTACCAGTAATAATGTGGGAGGCAAGATTGAAGTCAGGGCCAGGAACAATGGTAATTGTGGGAGACTCAACAAAGAGTGAGTACAGCTGAAGGAGGGACAGAAAGTATATGCATCAAGTGTGAGGAGGAAAATAGATTTTGAAAGTTATGGGAATGTAGAAAGTAAGTGGAGCATAGTTTGTGATTTTGAGGGCCTCTAAAAGTATTAAAGCAGTGGCAGTGAGGTGTGGCTGTAGCCTAGGAATAGTCAGGGAAGCAGATAATGTAGTTAAAATGTCTTGACCTAATAAGGGAGCTGGGCAGGTGGGGATAACTAAAAAGGAGTGCATAAAAGAATGTTGTCCAAGTTGGCACCAGAGTTGGGGAGTTTTAAGGGGTTTAGAAGCCTGGTTGTCAGTACCCACAACAGTTATGGAGGCAAGGGAAACAGGCCATTGAAAAAAAGGTAATGTGGAGTGGGTAGCCTCCGTATTGATTAAGAAGGGGGAGGACTTACCCCACACTGTAAGAGTTACTCAAAGTGTCTGTGATGGTTCAGGAGGCTTCTGAGGCAATCGGGCAGCGTCAGTTTTCAGCCACTAAGCCGAGAAGTTCTGGGAAGGAGTCAGTCAGAGAGTCTTGGGCCAGAGTTCTACAGGCTCTGGGAGTGGCTGCTGGGCGAGTTGGACAGTCCAATTTCCAGTGGGGTCCTCCACAGAAGGGACACAGCTTAGGAGGAATCCTGGGCTGGGGGCATTCCTTGGCCCAGTGGCCAGATTTCCAGCACTTGAAGCAAGATCCTGGGGGAGGAGGTCCTGGAGGAATGCCTGGCTGCTGCAGTTTAGGTGTTTTGAAGTTCTTTTGTGCTGGAGATGTGGCTGGGGTTTTTCTCATAGAGGAGGCAAGTAATTGCAACTCAGAAATAGGTTGCCACTTGGCTGCCTCTTCTTTATTATTGTATACCTTGAAGACGAGGTTAATTAAGTCCTGTTGTGGGGTTTGAGGGCTGGAATCTAATTTTTGGAGCTTTTTTTAAATGTCAGGAGCGGATTGGGTAGTAAAATGCATATTGAGAATAAGACGGCCTTCCAGCCCTTCTGGATCTAGGGTATTAAAGTGTCTAAGGGTTGTTGCCAAACAGGCCATGAACTGGGCTGGTTTTTTATATTTGATGAAAAAGAGCCTAAACGCTAACTGATTTGGGAGAGGTAGGATAAAGAAAAAGTAGCATTAACCTTGACTATGCCTTTAACTCCATCCACTTTTCTAAGAGGAAATTTTGGGGCAGGTGGGGGAGGGCTAGTCATGGAACAAAACTGTAAGTCAGACCAGGTGTGAAGAAGGGAGGTGACAGAAGGATCATAGGGTGGGGGAGCAGAAGCTGAGGAAGAATTGGGACCTGGTTCACCCTAGCAAGGAGCAGCCTAAGAAGGAGGGGAGAGGTCAGATGGGTCCATAGAAAAGGGGGATTCGAAGTACTCAGAGCCTGTGGTGGAGACTGAAGGAACAGACAGGAGAGAAAGAAGAAAGATTTGGGATGAGCCACATTGGGAGCAGAGACTAGGGAGGGACCAATGTGTAAAAGAATGCCTGGACATCAGGCATCCCAGATCATTTGCCCATTTTTTGACAAAAATTATCTAGATCTTGTAGGATGGAGAAATTGAAAGTTCCACTCTCTGGCTGCTTGGAATTACTGTTGAGTTTGTATTGGGGCCAACAGTATTGCAGAAGAAAATAAGGTGGTTAGGTTTTAGGTCAGGTGTGAGTTGAAGAGGTTTTAAGTTCTTGAGAACACAGGCTAAGGGAGAAGAAGGGGGAATGGAGGGTGGAAGTTTGCCCACAGTGAAGAAGGTAAGTTTAAAGAGAAAGGTAGAGACACGGAGAAGGGGGTGGTGAGCAGCCCTGGGCTGCAATGTGGGTGAGCAGCCAAAGCAAGTGTCCCCACATTTGACTTGCCACCAAGAGAATGTGGGTGAATGACCAAGGCAGGCACCTCTGCGGTGATCAGACACCAATGAAATGTGGGTGAATAATCAGGCAGGCATCCCCGCAGTAATTAAACACCAATGGAAGACTGTCTTCCTGAGTCCGTGACCGCCGCAGGAGTTTTGGGTCCACAGATAAAATGTATCTCCTTTGTCTCTACTAGAGAGGAAAAGGAACTGGAATTGGAAGGACAGGGAGATTGAAGCATAGCAAGAGAGGCTGGAGAAGAGATTGAAAAGACCGCTTACCCAATTTGAAATTGGTGAGATGTTCCTTGGGCTGGTTGGTCTGAGGACCTGAGGTCATAGGTGGATCTCCTCATCTCCTCACAGAGTGAGGGCGAGGACAGGGGACCTGTCTCCTGAAGGAGTCCTCCTGTCCCAGGTCTTCAGCACCAAATGTCATACGTGTGCATGTGAAGAGACCACCAAACAGGCTTTGTATGAGCAATAAAGCTTTTTAATCACCAGGGTGCAAGTGGACTGAGACCAAAAAGAGAGACAGCAAAGGGAGACAGGGGTGGGGCCGTTTTATAGGATTTGAGTAGGTAGTGAAAAATTACAGTCAAAGGGGGTTGTTCTCAGGTGGGCAGGGATGGGGATCACAAGGTGCTCAGTGGGGTAGCCTCTGAGCCAGGAGAAGGAATTTCACAAGGTAATGTCATCAGTGAAGACAAGAACTGGCCATTTTCACTTCTTTTGTGATCCTTCAGTTGTTTCAGGCCATCTGGACGTATATCGTGCAGGCTTGAGCTCAAAGGCCTGATAATTGGGAAGCTGAGCTTTCATTCTAATGGCTCCTGTGTATACATATTAAATACGTTTGTATTCCTTTTCTCCTGTTTTTTTTTTTTTTTTTTTTGAGACGGAGTCTCGCTCTGTCGCCCAGGCTGGAGTGCAGTGGCGCGATCTCGGCTCACTGCAAGCTCCGCCTCCCGGGTTCACGCCATTCTCCTGCCTCAGCCTCCCGAGTAGCTGGGATTACAGGCGCCCGCTACCACGCCCGGCTAATTTTTTGTATTTTTAGTAGAGACGGGGTTTCACCGTGTTAGCCAGGATGGTCTCGATCTCCTGACCTCGTGATCCGCCCGCCTCGGCCTCCCAAAGTGCTGGGATTACAGGCGTGAGCCACCGCGCCTGGCCTCCTTTTCTCCTGTTAACCAACCTTTAAGGGATCAATGGCCATGGTTCCCATAGAGTCTCAAGGTACATTCATACTGAGGCAAATTGTTCTCTAGCTATAAGCCTGAGACATCAAACAAGTTATATGATTTCAAAATACAGTCACGGGGGAGACAAAGGACAGACATTCCCATTCCAAAAAGGGGAAATAGGAAAGAAGAAGTGACAGGTCCTGAGCAAGTCAAAGATATTAAGGCTCAAGAAGAATAACTCAAAGCAACTTTTTCCAGAGATTATCTCTCCTTAGAGAGAAGATTCACTTTTTAAACAGGAAAAGAAATATTTCAACAATTATTAATGTGATTTTTTTCTTAGCTTTTATGAGTACATGATTTTTACCCCAGTTGGCCGATACTACTTATATCTCTGGGCTTCTGGGAAGAAGAAAGAAAATTAGGAATCATAATATTCAGACTCTTACACTCAAAAATTTAATTTTACAGCAAGAAAATTATGTTAAATCTGGCTACTTTCTTGAGAAAAGACTCTAAATTCTATTTTCAATTTTCTTCTTTAAGTGTATTAACAGTCAGTCTGGAGTATACACAAGGAAAGCTAAGTGGAAAGAAGAAAAAGGAGAAAGCTAGACTCTTCCTTGCCCCTAGGTATTGGAAGAAGAAAGGAAAGAGGGAGAAGAGTAAAAAATCCAGGTAAATGCCTCACCTAGAGAGGAAATGCTGACTTAGATCATGTGAATGGAGAATTAAGAAATTTACTACTATAGGGACAGGAAGGGGGTGATCACTTTCCTCCCATGGCAAAGGATCACATTTAGCACCCTTATAACAAAAGATAGGTTAAAAAAAAAGGAAAGCATAACAAAGTAATTACATGCAAATATGTGCACTGGAGTCACACAAAATATAAAAACTAAAAGAAAGGGCCAGCCAGTGACTCAGGAGGCTGAGGCAGAAGGATTGCTTGAGGTCAGGAGTTGGAGACCAGCCTGGGCAAAATAACGAGACCTTGTCTCAAAGAAGAAGAAAAACAAGAAGAAGAAAGAAGAAAGAAGAGAGAAGAGAGAAGGAAGAAGGAAGAAGATAGAAGATAGAAGAGAGAAGACGGAAGAGGGAAGAAGAAAGAAGAAAGAAGAAAGAAAGAGAAGGAGAAGAAGGAAGAAAAGGAAAAGAAAAGAAAGAGGCCAGATGAGGTCAGTGTTTAAATACTTCTTCAAGGAAGAGAGGAAAAGGGGAGGGGGTAATTGTAGGAGTATGTAGGAGTAAATAATTTTCAGGGGAAATTAATGTACCTTCTAGACAGAAATCAACTTGTAACTGCTGCTCTTGTGAAGGTGAGGGGGTTCTTTCTGAAGGTGTCGAGCTTAAGGTTTTTCAAGGACAGCAGATAGGCAAGGAACTAGAGAATAGGTGCTGCTGACTGGGTGAAGATGCAATCATGTTGTGCAGAAAACAGTTTTCATTTGCTTGAGTCCACCTCTGGGAGGGGGCACACAGAACCAGCTGAATCATGAGTCATGCATCTGGCTGTGGTCAGTCACTTGCCAGAGTGCAAAAGTCTGAAAAATATATCAAAAGACCAATCTTAGGTTATACAGTAGTGACGTTATCTACAGGAGTAATTCAGGAAGTTACAAATCTTGTGATCTCCAGAACAAAGGGGGTTATTATTTAACTATGTTTACATCTTAGAGTTCAGGCCTCTCTCTAATCTCAACCTTGTGGCCCCTTATTAGCTTTACATGGGGAATTTAGTTTGGGGATGGGCCATTATAATCCTTGCTTTAAGATTAAGCTGTAAACTAACTTCTTTCCAAAGTTATCTTGGCCCGTACCCAGGAATGACCAAGGACAGTTTGGAGGTTAGAAGCAAGATGAAGTCAACTATGTCATATTTCTCTTACAGCCATAATTTTGCAAACATAGCTTCAAGTCCTTTCAATTTTCAAAGCACTCAGCAGGCTGAAGTGCCATATTTTGGAAATCATTTTCTGTGCCCCAGTACTGTGCCATGAAGAATATCATCTTGTAATCAGTCCTCTCTTATCAATAATGTTGGGCAGTGTAATCAAGCAGAGGAGGTTGCAACGACTTAGTGTTTCTGGCCACTCTTAGTTCCACATAGCATACATGCTTATTTGAGAGCTAGGGGTCTCCTGCAAAGGAATACAGGTAAAAGAGTAAGATGACCTCTCATCAGAGGTTGTGGGCAGACAGCCATACCAGAAGACAAGATAAAGGGTGGTCCAGGAGCAAGCACCTCTTGAAGCTAAGTTGAGGTGAAGTTAACAAGGGAGCAACCCAAAACTGTTACCAAAGCCTAGCAAGACCAGTTTATGAGTTAAGCTGGCTGCAGATTTCTTTGCCTATGTCAGTAAGGCATGCAGTAACCATAGTGATATGAAAGACACATTCTTCTGGAAATCCAAGGATTACTACAAGTTCTGGGAACCCCTGCTTTCCACTTCCTGAAGCATGAGGAGCCTAACTTACTGTACATTTACATTTCAGGGAAAAGAGTCCAGGAGACATGGAAGGCTATTTCAGAGGCTAGGCACTGAAAGAGACTGAAAACTCCCATTAAACAAACTAAGTTATTAAATTAAACTAAAAGGAATCCATATTACATATCGGTCTCTTTTTTTTTCTGCTGATTGGGGTAGGAAGGCTTATATAGAAGATCAAATTCAGTTTAATCAAGAATAAAGAAATTATTTTTTTCTTGTATGTTAAAATAGCATTTTGAGCTAAAATTAATAAACTGAAGCCCCTCTCCCACACATTTTTTAGTTAAAAATGTGAATTTGTTGCTCAAAGTCATCAAGTATTGATAGATCATGCTTCCTTTTTCCAAGACAATTGTTTCTCTTTTTTGTTTGTTCTAAAACATTTAATTGACAAATAAGATAGCATATATTCAAAGTGTACAACATGATGATTTGATATATGTATACATTGTGTAATAGTTACTATAATCAAATTACTTAAAACATCCATCAGCACACATAGCTATCATTGTGTGTGTGTGATAAGGACACTGAAAATGTACTGCCATCAAATTTCACATTAAATAATAGAGTATTATTAACTAACATTGGTATGTGTGCATTAGATCCCAAGAACTTAATCAATCTTATAATTGAAATTTTATACCTTTGACCAATATCTCCCATTTTCTCTTGATCCTGTAACTGAGTACTCTATTTTTAAGGAGTTTTCTTAGTTCTTTTTTCCTTTCTTCCCTTTTTTGATGGCTTTTTTTTGTTAATAGTAAAATAGTGACTTTTGGTCTCCTTCTTTCCACCAGGCACTCCCTTGCACTGGTAGCTTATCTAATTATATGTTTGCTTACAAGTTTCAGCGACTGAATCTTGAGACAATCCAGGTGCCTATGGAATTTTCAGCCACCAGGAGATTATCTCGAGGCTACAGTTAATGTATAATCTAGATACGCTTAAAATGGTGCCAGCTCATTCACCAGATGAGACAATAACTCAAGACAAAACATCAGTTCCTTTCCTGCATGCTCAAAATACCAAAATTCCCTCTGAAAGCCATCACATTCTGCCCAAAAATTTGAAATGGTTTTTCTAAGGAAGGAAGCCTAGATCATTTTTGAAACCACCTTTCCAAAATTATGACTGAGACAGTAGAAGAGGTCTAACTTAACCGACTCCATCTTGCTTCTAACTTTTAAGCTGTCCTTGTTCCATTCTGGGCATAGGCTGACTAACTTTGGAAGAAACCTGGTTTATAGTTTATAGTTTAAAACAAAGACCATGTAACAGTCCTTTCCAACAACAAAACTCCTTCTTGATGGGGGACTAGACTGCCTTTGTAGGACTAACAAATTAGCCAAAGGATTAGAAATTATGGTTTAGGAGTCATGCAGCTGGTGACTACAAGATCCTAATCCCTTTTACACTGCTCGTACACTCAGTGCCTGAGATATTTTGCAGACCTGCACTTGATGGATCAGCTGGTACCACCCAGATTGATCAACTGGCTCATCTGATCTTGTGGCGCCCACCCAGAAACTGACTCAGCACAAGAGGACAGCTTCAACTTCCCAGATTTCATCTCTGACCAAACCAATCAACACTCTGGACTCACTGGTCTTCCCCTCTGCCCCACCACCACCAAAATAGCCTTAAAAACTCTGATCCCCGAATGCTCAGGAGACTGATTTGAGTAATAATAAAACTCCAGTCTCCTGCACAGCCAGCTCTGCATGGATTACTGTTTCTCTACTGCAAGTCCCCTGTCTTGATAAATTAGCTCTGTCTAGGCAGCAGGCAAGGTGAATCCATTGGGTGGTTACATTTTCCCACTGCTATTTTTGGTAAATAAAGTCAATTTCCTGCCACCCCTTGTCCTTGTTTTTTGGTTTTGCAAACAGGGAGCAGCCAAATCAGGGAAATGCAAATCAAAACCACAATGAGAGATCACTTCATGCCTTTTAGATTGTCTATTATCAAAAACACAAGAAATAGCAAGAGTTGGGGAGGGTGTGGAAAAAGGAAAACGCTTGTATACAGTTGGTAGGAATGTAAATTTGTCCAGCCATTGTGGAAAATAATATGGATGTTTCTCAAAAATAAAAAAAATAAAACTACCATATGATCCAGCAATCCCACTGGTGGGCATATATCCAAAAGAAATAAAAATAGAATCTTGAAGACATTCCTGCACTTCAATGCATATTGCAGTATTACTCACATTAACCAAGATATAGAAACAACCTAAGTGTCCATCCACAGATAAATGTATTAAAAAATGTGCTTTCTTTTTCTCTCTCTCTATTTTTCCTGGGGAATTGAGTCTCCCAGGAAGTCTCTCCAAATAGATACACAATTGAATAAGACACACTTCTGCCCTTTCTATCAATTAGTGAGACATAGTCTCAGAAGCTAACACTAATAGCAAAGAATAGTGTGTGAAGTGTGACAGTGTGACTATTTATACAAAACATCATGAAAACTTAAAGGACAGGGGTAGTTTTGCAGCAGAAGTTATATTTGACCGAGACTTTGAAGACCAATAATAATTGGCCAAGATGGGAAGAGGATAGAAGATCCCAAACAACTTTTTCAAAAGCATAATACTGAACAAACATCGGGCAGGCTTGAGGACTCAGAGAGTTTGTTTTGACTGAGACATACGGACCATGCATGTAGAAGTGAAGAATGATTAGCTGTGAGGATGGAAGCCATGAGCCAGAAATACAAGCCTGTGTACAATTAAATATTGAATAGTGAGCGATTGGATATTTGAGCATTATGGGAGCTATGAATATTATGGGAGTTTAGAAACAAGAAAAACTAATGAGGACAGAGTACTCAGTGAAGGCTTTATGGAGCAGATGTGATTCATGCAAATGCCCTCAGCATTTTGGTTCTTCTGTTAGCAATATTCTTATTACATCTCCTCGAATCAATGGGCATCAGTCAATTAAAACATCAGAATGAGAGGGACCTGCTCATAGAACTTCTGATTGAGACGTGTGGCTGTTAGAGTCATCGATCCATCCATGGCATTTCCTGAAGACTGTTTTTTAGGTACCAGTTCCATTGGAGGTTAATAGGTGTTTTCTGTAAAAATAATTTTGTGGACAAAACTCGATGGGCTTCTGAGATGTCCTTTGTTAATATTCTATTAGATGCTGGGATGTTCCAAATACTGGTAACGTAAATAGTGTTTCTGAGCAAATTTAACCACAGAACCTCTAATTTCCTGGAAGAAATTGTTGTTCCACAGGACACACTTTAAGTGACACAGCCATGAATTAGCTGCTGACAACAGGGAAATCTAGAATATCATTTGACAAGAAAATAATTCAAAATATAACAGGGTGCCCCACCAGGGAGTAGAGTTCTGCATAAGGAAATATAGAAACAAGTAATACTTAAGGAAAGAAATAAGTATAAGTGCACTTTTTATTAGGAATGTTTGGCAGTATTATACTTGGTCCAACTTATAAAATACAATTAGTTTTATAGATACAGACATTCTGTATTCCTTCCTCATCTCTGAAATTTGACAGTGATCCTTTGACTAACAGCTCTTCAATCTCTTCTTCTTTGCCCTAAATGTATATCTTCCTGAGTTCCAGATTCACATATATCAATTACCAACTTGACATTTCTACTTGAGTGTCTAAGAGGTATCTCAAACTCAGCATTTCCCAAACTTAATTCTAGGACTCCCTCCCCCATTTTCAATCATGTTGTTCCTATAATTTTTACCATCTCAAATGACATTATCAGCAATCCATTTTCTCAGGTTCCAAACAAGTCCAAGGATAGGACAAATGTCTTCCTGCTTTAGAGATTTTATATTTGATTTCACCTCTTACACTTTTTCCCCAGATATTATTTTTTTTTTACATAATTTAGTCTTGTTGTTAAACATTATATTCTCAGAGAGTTCTCCCCTCACATCCTGACCTAAAGTGACATTTTCTCTTCTCAAATTTTATTATTCTTTACTATGCTTGTCACTACATAAATTATGAAATTATATCATTCTCTCCTATCAAATGTAAGCAACTTTATGAGGGCTGGAGATTTATCTGTCTTGATCAGATCATTGTTGTAGCTTCAATACTTGGATAAGAGTAGTTCTAAATATTTACTGATTTAATAGATGAATAACTCATACAATTTGGGCACTTGGAAGGTCTAGAAAATGCTGATTGTGCATTATGTCATTTTTCCATAAAAATCTGCAAGTCAGGATTTTTCTACCCATATTACGGAGCTGTCTTTCACTCAAACATCATTTAAGCTGGCCTATTTCTGTGCAAGTCCAAAGATATTTTTTCACAGCATTCCAGTGGTCAAATAGTTTGTGGCATGAAATGGTTTAAATTTTCTTCCTATATAATTAAATTTAGCAGATGCTTCATGCGCAGTCCTACTACATACACCAGGGAGAAATGTTATTGATTAAAAAGTCACAAAATATTTGTATTTTAAAAACCCATAATGAAATAATCAATTCAAGCAATGATGATAATGACCAATGATGATG
This sequence comes from Homo sapiens, assembly GCF_000001405.40. Lineage (NCBI taxonomy): Eukaryota > Metazoa > Chordata > Mammalia > Primates > Hominidae > Homo > Homo sapiens. The sequence continues at coordinate 117,123,225 of NC_000002.12, read as the reverse complement.
ATGTAAAATAAGAGATAGTCAGACATTCAATGCCTCCTGAGATAAGTGTATACCTTTACCTCTGAAGGAGTGCCGCCAAAAAGGTAAAAAAAAAAAAAAGAAAAAAAAAGAAAAATAAACTTGAATTAAATAAAGCAACTAGTTCTAATTACTAGTGGACAGTAAATACACAGGTCGGAGAAATATGTTCTGTATTTTCCCCCTTAAATGCAGGCAATCAGTGAATCTAGACCATGGGAAACCCTGGCAGCAAACCGCCCCTTTGCCTCTGCAAATAAATTACAAGAAAATAAAAGATGAAAAGAAGTGTAAAAAATAGGTTGACTGAGGTCATGTGTAGACCTTGTTTGGATGCTGATTCAAACAAATCAACAGTAATAAATAAATAAATAAATGATTTTTTAAAAGAAAAAATAATGTATACATGTGACAATTCTTTTACTACCTTACTTGAACCAATTAAATCCAAATTAATATCTTGTTATTTTCTAGAAAATGATAAAGCCCACTCATAGAGTTTCAGCTAGAGAGATTTGTATTCCTATAGTAACCACTGGACCTTTCATAAAACTTCTTGGAGTGTCAATATGGAGATAAATTTAGAAAAATCATAGGATTGCAAGTTCCTGCATACAAAAACACATTACTAAAGACCTAGTCACTCTCTGAAGAGTTAAAATTCTAAAAAAGAAAACAAAACTTGTAACCAAATCTCTCAGCAATAGGGTAGTGATGTTTATAAAAATTTTAAACTCGTTATTCTTTAGGAAAAGATTATGTCTTCAGGAGCTTCATAGTTTCATAGCAATGAATTTAGATAATCACCACCACCCACTTCACATATAACCCACCACTCAGGGCTAGATATGTTTACGGTAGCTTCTTTAATCTAATGAACAAAAAAAGTGGTCCTATATCTCAAGCTACTATTGGATAATCTTAAAACATACTTCTAAGTTCCTGAGGCTGAAGTTTTAGACCAATGAATGAAGTGGTAAGATGAGCGGTACCCAAAACTCTTTGTATAGAGGCTTCATTTTTATAATCCACAGAAGGGAGGAACTACTAGAGATCAGATAAAGGCCACCCACAGATAAAAGCCAACCACAGATAAAACTTCAGCGCTAGTCTCCAATTTTCAACTTTTCTGCTTTTAAAACTTTATTCAGAAGTAGAAAAATAGATTTATCTTAAAGTCACCTTTTTCTTTCTCCTTCTTTACTCTGTGCAAACGTTACTGATTGGAGAAGAAACACAAAGCCCGACGATAATAAGAAAAAGGATGAGAAAAAAACGAGCCCTAAAATAAAATATCCAGCCTTTGAATAGTCGAGTTAGCTGTGCCGATATAGAAATAGAAAGTCCTCTAGTCATTTAATGTTCTATATAGAATATGTATATATTTGTGTATATATAATGTAGATGATATATATTATATGTTGTATAGGTGTATGTATTATATATGTATACACATGTATATAAGTACATGTGTATATATAAATACAAATTCATGCACATATCTCAACTTATAATACAAACACATGCAGACATACAGAGAGACAGAGACACACAGAGGGAGAGTAAAGTTTCACAGAACACACTTTTCTCCTTCTACAATGATTTATTATATCTCTTCATTTCCTATGTTTTCTTGCTGAATGTATGACATCCATTTTAATTTATTATTATTTTTTTTTTTAGAGACAGAGTCTCACTCTTCACTCGGGCTGCAGTGCAGTGGAGCAATAGTTGCTCACTGTAACCTCAAACTCCTGGGCCTAAGCAATCCTCTGGCCTCAGCTTCCTGAATGACTAGGACCACAGGTGAGAGCCACCTCATCCAGGTAATCTTTAAATTATTTTTCATGTAAGGATGGGATTTTGCTATGTTGCCCAAGCTGATCGTGAATTCTTGTCCTCAAGTGATCCTCCACCCTAGCCTCCCAAAGCCTAAGGATACAGACCTGAGCCATCAAACCCAGGTGATGCATATCTTTAAAGGTATAATTTTATATCTTTATTTTTGTTAATAATAAGATACAATAAGATATGTAATTGTTAATACTAAATATTGTTAATAACGTTATTGCTAATGGAAATTTTAGAGAAAATGTTACATATTTTATTTTTTATTGGAAAACATTATTTTTAGGTAATTGGAGAAAAGTAATGACCAAAATATTGTTATTAATTTCCATGTGTAGGCATACTGAAATACATGGACACACAAAGTTATAACTAGCATTTAAAACATATTTTATATAAAAGTATAAATAGAATATGTTTTCCTATTTGTTATAAAAATATAATATGTTTAGGGCTTTGCTGCAGAGGGCAAAGACAATATAAATTTTCAATGTGAACTGTAATTTTATTAGAACAGAAACTCCAAAAATATTACATTTACTTCTGGAACTGTGCCTAGCCCATACTAGGTACTCAAGAATATTTTTTAATTAATAAGGAAGGAATGAAAACCTGGTAAAAGGAAGAATAAGAAAGAAAACATAAAGATTTATGAAAAAAGTTGTGGGAAAAAAGCAGTGGATCCAGAGGCTTTTCAATATAGAGATAAAAACCAACTAAAAAAATGTTTTCTCCCTCTTATAAGTGAAGATGCAATGTTAATGTTTTGCCTTCCTACCTTGAGAATATAGAGAAGTCTCAAAGGATTTTTCCAGGCAATTGTTAACAAATTGATTGTATATTGCAGGGCTCTAGCTCTGCAACCTCTACAACTCTCTTTCCAAGTTGTGTAAGATGGTAAGTGTAAGGTTTTATTAGCTTACTACATGAGTACTTTAGGAGAATCAAATGAGATAGATTTTGGTAGTCCTAGCTAGTGCAATCAGATAAGAGAGAGAAACAAATTGAATCTACATTGGAAAGGAAGAAGTCAAATTGCCCTTATTTGCAGATGATGATAGGATCTTACATTTGGAAAAACCTAAAGACTCCACCAAAAAAGATTAGAACATATAAACAAATTCAGTAAAGTTGCAGAATACAAAATCAACATATAAAAATCACTAGCATTTCTACATGCCAATAGCAAACAATCTGAAAAAGAGATCATGAAAATAATCCCATTTACAATAGCTACAAACAAAATTAAATACCTAGGAATTAACTAAATTAATGAAAGATCTCTACAATAAAAACTATAAAACAATGATAAAATAAATTGAAGGGGACACCAAAAAATGAGATATTCTGTGTTCATGGATTAGAAGAATCAATATTGTTAAAATGTCCAAAAGGAATCTACAGAGTCAATACAGTCCTTATCAAATTATCAATGGCATTTTTCACAGAAATAGAAAAAAAATCCTAAAATTTATATGGAAACACAAAAGTTGCAGAATAACCAAAGGTATCCTGAGCAAAAAGAACAAAACCTGAGGAATCACATTACCTAACTTCAAATTATACTACGAAGCCAATAGTGACCAAAACAGTTTGGTAGTGCCATAAAAACAGACACCTAGACCAATGGAACAGAATGGAGAACCCATAAACAAGTCCATACATCTACAGTGAACTCATTGTCAACAAAGGTGTCAAGAATGTACATTGCAGGAAGAACGGTCACTTCAATAAATGGTGCTAGGAAAACTGGATATCCATATGCAGAAGAGTGAAACTAGACCCCTGTCTCTCATCATATAAAACAATCAAATCAAAATGGATTAAAGACTTACATCTAAGACATCAAACTGTGAAACTATTAAAAACAACATTGGGGAAACTCTCCAGGACGTTGGTCTGGGGGCAAAGACTTCTTGAGTAAAACCCCACAAGCATAACACAATCAAAACAAAAATGGACAAATGAGATCACATCAAGTTAAAAATCTTCTGCAGAGCAAAGAATACAATCAACAAAGTGAAGAGAAAATTCACAGAATGGGGGAAAGTCTTCAAACCTTTCTTCTGACAAGGGACTAATAACCAGAATACAAAAGGAGCTCAAATACCTCAACAGGAAAATATCTAATAATTCATTTAAAAATGAGCAGAATAGCTGAATAGACATTTCTGAAAAGCAGACATACAAATGGCAAACAAGTATATAAAAAGATGATCAACATCATTGATAATCAGATAAATGCAAATCAAAACTACCATGAGATATTATCTCACCTCACCTAAAAGGGATGTTATTCAAGATAGGCAATAACAAATGCTGGTGAGGATGTGGAGAATAGGGAACTCTTGTACACCGTTGGTGAGAATGTAAATTAGCATAACCACTGTGGATAACAGTTTGGAGATTCCTCAACAAACTAAAACTGGACCTACTATATCATCCAGAAATCCTACTGCTGGGTATATATCCAAAAGAAAGAAACTCGGTATATAGAGGAGATAACTGCTCTCCCATGTTTATTGTAGCAACCATTATTCACAATAGTCAAAATTTGGAAGCAACCTAAGTGTCCATCAGCAGAAGAATAGATAAAGATAATGTGGTGCATATTCACAATGAAGTGTACTATTCAGCCATCAAAAAGAATAAGATCCTGTTTGCAACAACTTAGGTGGAATGGGAGATTATTATGTTGAGTGAAATAAGCACGCATAGAAAAACAAACTTTGCCTGTTCTCACTTATTGTGGGAGCTAAAAATTAAAACAACTGAACTCATGGACATAGAGAGTAGAATGATGGTTACCAGAGGCTGGGAAGGGTTATGGAGTGGGTGGAATAGGGATGGTTAATGGGTATAAAAATATCATTGGATAGAATGAATAAGATCTAGACTTTGATAGCACAACAGGGTGATTACAGTAAATGATAATTTATTGTATATTTAAAAACTAAAAGTAAACAACTGGATTGTTTGTAACACAAAGAAAACAAATGCTTGAGGGGATGGATACCCCATTTACCCTGATGAAATTGTCATACATTGTATGCCTGTATCCAAATATCTCATGTACCTCATAAATATATACATCTACTCTGTACTCACAAAAATTTTTAAAAAAATTAAATGAGATGGATTTGTCAGCACTCTAGAGCAGTTAGTTTTCCAAGCTATAAAATTCTTACAATTGTTGTCATAATTGTAATTATTATTGACATTAATAAATGGCTCCAAAATTTAAGTTGCTCAAAATTAAACTCCCACATTTTTCTGCAATCTTAACAATAGTTATCCTTTCATTTGCCTCCCTAAATTTTTGCTAAATTACTAATTATTAAAATATATTTAGACCTGAATTTGAAACCCACTATACAGCTGCAAAAATAATGACAAGCCCCTTCCCACCCATGTCTAATAAATTCTGAGAACCTCTGCCCTTCTCTAATGATACTTTACATACACCTACATTATTCTATGGAGTTTGCATGTTTTAAGAAACAAATGTTTCTTTGGAAACATTTCAATTTTATTTTTCTCTTTATGTTTTAGTTGGATCTCCTGGGAAACATCAAAGCACATGAATTTAAAGTAAAACTGTAGAGGCATTAGGAATAGAATACTCATAGATACCTTTAGATTTCATTATGCTTTTGGATGGAGTATTTTACCACAGGCTTCCCAGATGGAGGTTTTGCCGGTAGCACTCATGTACAGAATGCAACCCCAGAGGTTTTACTTACCTTGAGTCCTAGACTAGATACAGGGTTAATTAGAATTTTGTGGTTTAGATTCTCAATATACTACCTCTCAGCTGCATAAAAAGTAACATCAGCCTTGTACCATGCTAACATTTGTTTCTTAATAATATCACCGAGGACAAAAATTTATAGGACATTTTGCATTATTGTGTGACCTAGTCAACAATTTCCATTGGATAGGACAATATCATTTTCAAATGCACATACTTTGTTTCTTTGATTTTGTTAATTAGTTTGGACAAAAGACTAATTAAGAACTGACATTTGAAGTTCAGTGTTATGCACTAGGGTTATAAGGATAAATAAGGAGCACTCCTTATCAATAAGAAGTCTAGCACCAAGATGAGGAGACCAAGTTGCTTTTAATCATCTGGAGCATGTAAGTTATTATATTGTATATTGGAGGCATGCAGTGATTTCAGTGTTCACGGTAGGGATGTATATGATTTGATTCTTGCAGTTGCTTTATACCTTCAACATGGCAACTAACATATTTTGTAATAAAATGTTGTTTAACTGATATCCTCTCAATTAACCCTCTATGGGTTAATTCTTCTGCAGTTTTCCAGTATAGTATTAACTGATATCACTGATAATAAACATGAAACACCTAAGATGGGAGTGTCTTTTGAATCATTAAGCACTGGGTTATTTTTATTAACATTTTTGTTATATTCTGATAGTTTTGAAAATTAAAATTACCTATTCAGTACATACTATCAGTTTTCTTACAGCCAGTCTATTAAGGAGGAAGGAGTTTTCTAATTATACTGGCAGCCACAGAGTTTGCAGTTTCTCACATTAGGTAAGGATTTATGAACTAATGACCATCTACCAAAAACTATCCACTAGTCTTTAAATTCCATTTATGCTTGTATTCTCCGTATCAAACATGTTCAGCAAGAATAGAATTTTTTTGTTGTTGATCACAGGTGGCACTAATGTATGCTCAGTTCTGTCATATGTTGGTAAACAGAATTCTAACCCTCCACATTTTCTTTACTACTCATATATTTTGTTTCTGTGGATTCCAGAAAAATAGCACAAAACAAAACCATGTACGTAAACTATATCAAAGAATAATTTCAATCAAGTTTTCAAACAGGATGTTCTCTATAGTCAACTATGACATTTGTAGTAGATAGTAATCTCTATCCTATGTCATTCATTTTTCCATTTATTTTTCCTGTTACTGAGTTTAGGTTTTCTGCTTTCTACACTCTGCTTCTGCCTTTTTCTCTTGTCCACTTTTAGTTCCCAAGGGGAAGCCTAAATTAGTTCTACTTTATTTCAAACACTTGTGCTCCAGGTTATTGAGAGTTGTGATGATTTCCAGAAATTGGATGGATGTTGACTTTTTCTACATTTAACCAGAGATCTGTGCATTATCCTTAGTGATACAAATAGTGTGGACAGCGTTTTTCTCAAAAAAAAATGCAATTGACAGTCTCACAAGAATAATTTTATTAAAAAGACAAAGCATCAAATAAAACAAACCTGGTTGCTTTCACCTTCTGAGACTGAGTGCAAGCAGTGGGACTTACAACTTTTCTTTCTAATTAGATAACTGGCCAGCTAGCCAATAATTAACATACAAATTCAATCATTACTTTCTTTCTAACCAGCTTTCTTCTGGGTGCTTAGATCTGATGCAGAAATTTCACACTGCTATGAAATTTGTAGTCAAATCAAAATCACATTCATCAAATTCACCCAGGACCTCAATGTACCCTTCAAATCCTATCTGTCTCTCAAGTAGCATCTCTCCTGTTTATCAAGTTCCCTCTGTCCTCTCAACATTATATTCCAGCATTTAAAATCCCAAACTTTTGCTCACGTTCGCCTTTATTACATGAAGTAATTTTTCTCGGTATTTATTATTAGTTACATCTCCATGCAAGGGTATCAGATCTAAAATATCTGGCAGCTAGAATATCTAACATATCCCTCCTTTGTGCTATTTGAGAGCCCCTTGGAAACATCTGCCACTCAAAATATAGTAAATCATTTATTTAATTGTTTATCTTCTCTACTAGGCTGAGTTCCTTGAAGAGAGACACTGAGTCTTTTATTTGTATTTCTCCAGGCCTTCTTCATATTTAGCAATGATTTTGATGTTTAATAAATACCTGCAAGGTAAATTGAATACATTTGAGTATTCGGAAGATGACTTAAAAAGACGTTTAGATCAATGACAAGCAAGAATATTTTATACATCAAAGTGTTGAGAACTTCATCTGCTAGTGAATAAGCCCTAGCATTTTGTTGAAGGTAGTGCTGAATGCTCAAAGTACCAAGTTAGAAACTAAATCTTATGAAATTTTGATAAGTTCATTAGACGTACTTGTAGATCAATTTACACTCTGCTCTTGATTAAAATCGCATTTTTGAAAATAGATTTTTGGAACATTCTGACTAAGAACTTAGACTGTAAAGTTCCACGTTGTTCAACCAACTAGATACATGAAGTAGAAAAACACACTTGGTGTATAAAGAAGTACAATGTGTTCTCAAAAATGGTAGTCAAGAATAATCATTTCTAAGAAATCTAACTCTGCAAGTATGATGTAGTATCTGTTTAATATAAAATAATGTTCTTTATCTACTCATAAAAGGCAAACATTGTATCATGGATGAATTTTCAAGGAATGAAGTCAGCAATGTATTTAGCATGATGGGAAATCATAGTAAGTATTTTGGGGATTCTTAAAGAACACAAATTATTAAAGTCCAATTTATTATCATCTGCACAATATACAGCAAGGTATATCTGAGCATTACTTTAATGAACTTTGCAAATGTGCTCATTCACTTTTTCAAATCAAAGTGTGTTGTATAGAGGCCTTAAAAAAACCTATGAGGCCACTGCTTGTATAGGATCTGAATAAGGGAAGGATAAATTACATGTCTGAATGGGGCTGCAAGCTGAGAAGGTGAATGGGAACAGAAAGTGAGAGAGGAAGAGATGCTAAGTTTAAAAGGTCATAATTAAAATGCAACATACTACATAATTCAGTTTATAGAATATTTTGAATTGGGCAAAAATATAGAAACAGAAAACAGTGGTTGCCAAGGACTGCAAATAAAGGGAGGAATTGACAGCAAAGTGGCATGAGGAAATTTTGGGAGTGAGGGGACTAGTCTATATCCTGGTTCTGGTGGTGGTTACAGAACTGTACCTTTAATTTTGAGATAATGGTAGATCTACATGCAGTTGCAGGAAATAATATAAAGAAATCCCATGTAACCTTTATTCATTTTTTCAATGGTAACATCTTGCAAAACTTTAGTACAATATCACAATGAGGACACAGATATTGATGTAGTCGAAATACAGAACACTTCATCTCCACAAGGATCTCTCATATTACTCTTTGATAGCTGCATCCTACCCCTGCCACAGCCTTCTTAACTCATGACAACCATCAATATGCTCTTCATTTTTATATAGACAGTCAAGTCCACTGCAAATAAGAATAGTTTTATTTCTTTCTATTGAATTCTATGCCTCTTAGTTTCTTTTCTTGCCTCATCACATTGGCTAGAACTTCAGCAGCTTGTTGAATAAGAGTGATGAGATGTGAAAATCTAACTTTGTTCCCTAACTTAAGGAGAAAGCATTCCATCTTTTACCATTAAGTGTAATATTGGTTGTAAATTTTGCATAGATACTCAAACAAGTAAAGGTAGCTTATCTCTCTTTCTATTTTGCAGAGTGAATATGCTGAATTTTGTCAAATAATTTTTCTGCACCAATTGATAGTAATCATATGTTTTCATTTTTACACTCTTAATTTATGGCGAATCACATTGCTTGATGTTTGAATATTGAACCTGTAGTGCGTAGATGGGCTAAACTCCAAGTGGTCATGATGTATAATTCTTTTTATATATTGCAGAACTCTATTTGCCATAGTTTCATAAGAATTTTTATATATGTATTCATGAGGAATATTGGTCTGTAACTTTTTTGTATTTCTTTGTATGGTTTTGTTATCAGGGTAATAATAATTAAGAAGTGCTATCTATTCTAGTTTATGGGAGCAATTGTGTAGAATTGTGTTGATTCTTCTTTAATCATATGATAGAATTCTCTGGTGGAAGTAACTGATGCTATAGATTTCCTTCGAAGGAGTTTATAAAATTACAAATTCAATACTAATAGTTATAAGACTATTTAAATTATCTATTTCACATTGAGTGAGTCGTGATAGTTTGTGTTTTTGAAGAAAAAAAAGGTCCATTTCCACTAAGTAGCCAAATTTATGTGTGTAAAGTTGTTCATACATTATCACCTTTTCATGTCCACAGGTTTGTAATGATGGTTCTGTTTGCTATCAGATATTATTGGTAATTTATGTCTTTTATGTTTTTTCTTTGTAAATTTTGTACAGGTTTGTTGATTTTATTGATGTTTTCAAAGAACCAGCGCTTTGTTTCACTGATTTTCACTATCAGTTTCAGTTTTAAATTTCATTAATTTGTTTTCCTTTGTTATTTTCTTCCTCTTGTTTAATATGGATTCATTTTTTTCTTCTATTTAGGTCCTTGAAATTGCAAGCTTACATTACTGATTTAAGACTTTGCTTCTTTTCTAATGTATGCATCTAGAGCTGTACATTTCCCTCTCAGCACTGCTTTAGCTATGTCTCACAAATTTTGATTCATTATAGTTTTGTTTTTATTCTGTACCATATTTATTGGGGTTTTTTGAGATTTTTTCTTTTTGATTTCTGGATTATTTAAAAATCTGTTGTTATGTTTTCAATGATTTTCGTTTGGTTCTTCTTTGTATAGTTTATTTGCTAAGACTTTCTTCTTTGCTACAATCTTAAACAAATTTGTAATTTGTTTCGAGCATGTTTATGATTGCTTTTTGAAGAAATTTTATGATGTCTCTAAAATGTGTGTTAGAGAATTCTAACATCTCTGTCAGCTGAGGGCTGGTATCTATTGGTTGTCTTGTTTATGAGTTTGAGATCGTCTTGTTTTGAGTGAAACTTACGTATTTTTCCCAAATATTACAACACTCTCAGCTTTGTTTAAGCCTCTGTTTAGTTGACTTTTTCTGATGTTGCTCTATTTTGCAATGTTAAGTAGAAGGGATGAAAGTAATATTTCTGGCAGAAATCCTACTTGAGTGTTACTGGCTATTGTGTGGGGTTATGGAGAATAGCAAAAGACAATATCCAAAGCAGGAGCATGGTTAATTATACCATGTAGCTTTCATTCACTGGGATATTCCATGGCAAATGCTTATTGTTTAGTGTGTCATAAATTTATCATGATACAAATTATTGAATTTGTTAACTTTTGGTAAAATATCTTTACAAAATTATGAAAATTATAAAATATAATTTTGAATAATTAAAATATTCAGAACATGACAGAACAGAAATAAAACCTATGACTAGAAAAAATGGCAGATAATACAGCAAAATTATAATAGTGGTTGACTCTGGGCAGTTGGACTATGAGTGATTATTTGCTTTCTTCTACTTTACTACATTGTTGAATTTGTTAAATAAGTATCCATTACTTTAGAGTGAAGAAAGAAATCAAATGCATTTTAGGTTTCTTAATATAGCAGATTTTCTATGTACAATCAGGTCAGCAATCACGAAATGAATGCATAAAATGAATTGTAAGAATAAAGTATTATTGAAAGTAAAATCTATTTTATTTGCTGACCTATGTCTTGGTTTTACTTTTACTTCTTTTATTTTCTTTCAACTTAATTGTCTAACTTAAGATGTCCCATTTAAACTGGAACAATTAGAACAACAAAATGAATAATGTAGTATTGGATCGTAACCCAAAATATGAAATAAATGTCCATGAATCTGTCTATGAAAGGTTGAATGAATAAATAAATGGGGAGAAGAGACAAATCTCCCATAGAGAAGAATTCGAAACAATTTGTGTAGACAATCAACCTTCAAGCCCATGAGGCACAATTCTTCATTCCTTAAGTATAGGCTGCACATAGTGAGTTTCTGCATACGGTGTGAAAAGGGAGGTTTAACTTTATAATGAAAAATGTTACAAAAATGCCTGCCAGGTGCTCAAATTCATATCATGTTCCCCTGATAAGATTTGAAGAAATAGAAGTAGGACTTTAACTTTGTGGTCTTTCTCCTCAAAATCCATAATCCCATTCAAATCATGAGAAAAACGTCAAACAAATTCCAATTCAGGGTCACTCTACAAAATACCTAGCTAGAAATACTCAAAATCATCAAGATCATCAAAAACTAATAAATTCTAAGCAACTGTCACAGCCTATGGAGACATGAAGAGTAAATATAATATGGTGTCCTGGATGGGATCCTAGAACAGAAAAAGGACATTATATGAAAACTAAGGAAATATGAGTAAAGTATGGACTTTAGTTAATAACAATGGCCAGTATGGTTCACTAATTGTAACAAATGTACCATACTAATGCAAGATGTGAATGATAGGAGAAACTGGGTATGGGATATATGATAACTGTCTATTTTGTTTATATTTTTTCCATAAAACTACTCTAAAAATACATTTAATTTGAAAAACTTGAGTTAATCACAAAAAAATCTCATTTAATTATATAACTTTTTGCAAGCTATTAATTTTGTTTCAGTTAGACAGGATAAAAAGATAAAACATAGGGGAGGGCAAGATGGCCAATTAGATGCAGCCAGGTGTAAAAGCTCCCACCGAGGGACCAAGACGACTGGTGTCCTCCTAACAGATCTTCAGACGGAAACTACCAAGAGTCAACTGAGGGAAGATAGAACCTTGGCTGAAGAGGGAGAAAGCTGGAAATCCTGCTCGGGGCTACCACACACCAAGACTCATTCCTAACTCACGATGGCTCCAGGGAAACCGGTGAGTTGGACTAGCAAGAAGCAACCTGCTCTTGCCACTGGCCTCAGGCAGATGGGCATGAGAAACCTCTTGACCACCACAGGGACACTCAAGTTGGCAAGGAGGGTGGCTTAGAGAAGTGAGAGAGGCAGCAAGACAATTGGTGTAGAGCCCAGAGAGTTTGATGCGGGAGCCTCTGTAGTGGAGCAGAGTTAGGGACAGCCCTCTCGCAGGCTCAAACTGCTCTCATAGAAGATTTTAGCCCTAGGGAAACTGTTGGACCAGATCTCTGCAGGGAGATCTTACCTATCAGATGCGGCCAGTTCAACATGAACAGCCCTTGGTTTGCTGGCCTCTCCTGGGACCCCAGCCTGGCTACACCTGCTTGGAGGGCAGTCTCTGATTTCCTGGGGACCCACACTATAGCTTCTGTGCTGGTAGACCATTCTTGAGTGGCAGAGAGCTTCAGCTTGACCCCTATGGCCAAGCCCCAGCCTGCACTCTACCTCCACATACTGCAGCTTCCCCTGGACCCTCAATAACTCCCAATATCACTTTACTGGTGTGTGTCTACTTGGGCAGGTTTTGCTTTTCATGCCCTGCCAGCACACAGGTGTGCAGTCCAATCCCCTGCCCCTGCTGACCAACATTGCAGACATAGACTTGGCAACCACAAAACCAGCTGGCTCCACTCCCATCAGCACCCCACTGTTACCAGGGGGTTCTTGCTCCCAGAGCTCATAAGATGGTGGCAGGCCTCTTCCAAGATGGTGGCAAGCCTCATGTTCTCTGACCTGGGGTTCTTGGCCTCACAGATTCCAAGGAATGGAATCTTGGGCCATGTGGTGAGTGTTATAGCTCTATTAGAAGCCGTGGGTCACGGAAGAGTACCGTGGAACCCAGTGACTAGCGTTCAGCTCAATTAGGACCAACCTGGGCACTTAGCCATGCAGGAACAATTACAAGCCTTTAGCCTGATTGGGAGTGGCAATGGGCTCCTCGCTGAATCAGGAGCACAGCGGACACTCTGCCGGATCCTGAGGGATGGAAATCAGTGGCGGATCTGTGACAGCGGCAAACAGCAGTGTTGGATGGCGAGTGAAAGCTCAGTTTGAGCCATAACAAACATGGACCAGAAGAGAGTACAGGTGCAAGATTTAATAGAGTGAAAACAGAGCTCCCATACAAAGAGAGGGGACCCAAAGAGGGTAGCCATTGCTGGCTCGAATGCCTGGGTTTATATCCCGATCATTGTCCCTCCCACTGTGCTCTCAGGCAATAGATGATTGGCTGTTTCTTTACCACCTGTTTTTGCCTAATTAGCATTTTAGTGAGCTCTCTTTACTACCTGATCGGTCGGGTGTGAGCTAAGTTGCAAGCCCCGTGTTTAAAGGTGGATGCGGTCACCTTCTCAGCTAGGTTTAGGAATTCTTAATTGGCCTAGGAAATCCAGCTAGTCCTGTCTCTCACCACCTTTGTGCTGACACTGCACAGAGAACAGTGGATCCTTCCCAGTCCTGGGTGATTACTCCTGCATGTGTGGCACAGAGAAGGCACCCAGACTTGTGCCTGTCAGCATCCTGCCCCTGAGCCAACACTATCTAGGGCCATTGTGCACACAGTCACCAGCAGGGCCCCTGACCTGCACACAGCTACATTGTCTCCATCACTGTAGTGAATGCCCGCAGGGAGGCAACCTCCCTCTGCAGCCACTAGCACTTTACCGCAGCTACCACTACCACTGCTGTTGGCACGTGGGGAGGAGGATGGAACCTGCTGTCAAGACACTCCGAAACACTTTGGCTGACGTCACCCATCAGAGTTCAGTGACCATTGGTCCAGTAGCACCTCGATCTCCACAGTGCAGTAGATTCTTAACCTCGAGGAGCCAGAGAACACAGTCAGAGCCCAATACAAGTCTCGCAGAGTTAGAGCACACAGTACAGGAGATGAAAACTGAGCGTTGGCCCCCTAAAATCTTCCAGAAATGAAACCAGTCAGCTGAATCCACCTTATGCTATAATCAAACCCTCAAGGCCATCAAATAGGATAAAAGAAAAAAAAAAACCCAATTCAAAGGTTAGCAATCTCAAAGATTGAAGGTAGATCAGCCTACAAAGGTGCAAAAGAATCTGAGCAAGAACTCTGAAAACCCAAAAAGGCAGAGTTACTTCTTTCTTCTGAATGACTGCATCACCTCTCCAGCAAGAGTACTGAACCTGGCTGAGATGGCTGAAATGACAGCAATATAATTCAGAATATGGATAGAAAAAAAATCACTTAGCTACAAGAGTACATTGGAACCCAATCCAAGGAAGCTAAAAATCATGATAAAACAATTCAGGAGCTGACAGACAAAGTAGTCATTATAGAAAAGAATTTAACCAACCCGTTAGAGCTAAAAAACACTCTACAAGAATTTCATAATACAATCACAAGTATTAATAGCAGAATAGACCAAGTGAAGAAAAGAATCTCAGAGCTTGAAGATTGGCTTTCTGAAGTAAGACAGTAAGACAAGAATATAGAGAAAATAATGAAAAAGAACGAACAAAACCTCTGAAGAATATGAGATTATGTAAAAAGACCCAATCTATGACTCATTAGTGTCTCTGAAAGAAATGAGGAGAATGCAACCAATTTGGAAAACATATTTCAGGATATTGAAGCAGGATATTTCCCTGACCCCTTTGTGGGACTTGTGGCAGGGGTGGCTTGTTTACTTAACCCACCAGTCTCAACTCCTTGCAGGAAGGAATGCAAGCAAACAAGGCAGGATCTGGAGTGCACGAGCGCTAGAACCCTTTTGACGCCAGCAGGATCAAACTCTGCTCGCTGGGACCTGTTGTGTTCCACCCTTCAGGGGAGGGAGTGCACAGGTGAGTGAGTGCAGGAACCAGAGTGAGTGCTTTTGGGTGCTGGCAGAAGCAAACTGCAGGCCACGTGGTGGCATTCAGGCCAGGTGCCTGCGAAACCTGAAGCCCCAGAAGTCATGTTACAGAGCTCTTTTAGCTCTGCCATCTGCAGATGGCTTAAGTGTTAATAACTTAGTGGGCCCTCTGCCTTTTTGTGTGAGGTGATGGCCCTCTGCCAGCGAGGGCAAAGGGTGAGTGTGACAGCCTTTTTTTATCCATACTTGTGGCTCCCAAGCTCTTGTCCAGTGTCCAGGAAAAATAAGGTCACATGAATTAATTGAAGGATGGTAAATGCGGGGGATTTTCATGCTGATGAAAGTGGCTCTCAATGGGAAGGGGACAGAGTTGGTAGGTTATATTACCCTGAGGTCCAGCTATCTCCAGCCAGATTCTTCTCCAAAGTTACACCATCAAGCTGTCCCTCTGAAGTCAAGCCCCTTCCCTCCAATGTTCAGCCATTGTCCCCAACATCCAACTGCTTCTCCTCTGTACTGGCTGAGTCTGGGGCCTTTATAAGCACAGAATGGGGATGGGGCGGGCCTCAGATAGTTTAGAAAAAGGCAACATTTGAGTGGGAAAATAAGAATAGAAGTTGTCACTTTGGGTTGAGGGTTTCAGGCTTTTCAGTTTGAGGGTGGGGTTTTGACGGGGACCCGGCCTATCATGCCTGGAGTTTCTCTGCCCCCTGTCGCTATCAATATCATCCATGAGAACTTCCCCAATCTAGCTAGAGAGACCAAATGTCAAACTTAGGAAATGCAGAGACCCCAGGAAGATACTTTACAAGAAGATCACCCTCAAGACACATAATCAGCATATTCTCTAAGGTTAAAATAAAAGAAAACAACATTAAAAGCAGCTAAAGAGTTCAGGTTCACCTACAAAAGGAAGCCCATCAGACTAACAGTAAACCTCTCAGCAGAAACCCTACAAGCCAGAAGATTGGAGGCCATCATTCTTAAAGAAAATAAATTCCAAGCCAGAGTTTTAGATTTGCCCAAGCTAAGCTTCACGAGCAAAGGAGAAATAAGATCCTTTTTAGACAAGCAAATGCTGAGAAATTTGTTACCGCCAAGCCTGTCTTGCAAGAGCACCTGAAGGAACCACTAACTATGGAAAGGAAATAACATTATCAGCCACTACAAAAACACACTGAAGTACACAGACCAGTGACACTATAAAGCGACCACATAAACAACTCTGCATAATAACTAGCTAACATAATGATAACAGGATCAAATCCACGTATCTCAGTACTAACCTTAAATGTAAACTGGCTAAATGCTTCAACCAAAAAGAGTGGCAAGCTGAATAAAGAACCAAGACCCATTGGTATGCTGTCTTCAAAAGATCCATCTCACATGCAATGACACACATAGGTTCAAAATAAAGAGATGGAGAAAATTCTACCAAGCAAATAGAAAACAGAAAAAGCAGGAGTTGCAATCCTGATTTCTGACAAAACACACTGTAAACCAACAAAGATCCAAAAAGACAAAGACGGCAGTACATAATGGTAAAAAGTTCAATCCAACAAGAAGATCCAACTATCCTAAATATATATGCACCCAAAACAGAAACATCCAGATTCGTAAAGCAAGTTCTTAGATACCCAAACAATAGTGGTGGGATATTTTAACACCCCATTGAAAATATTAAACAGATCATCAAGATGGAAAATTAACAAAGATATTCAAGATCTGGACTCAGCACTGCATTAAATGGACCTGATAGACGTCTACAGAACTCTTCACCCCAAGCCAAGAGAGTATACACTCTTTTCATTGTTACATCGCCTATAATCTAAAATTGATAGCATAATCTGAAGTAAAACACTCTTCTTAGAAAATACACAAAACTAAAATCCTAACAAACCATCTCTCAAAACACAACATAATCAAATTAGAAATCAAGACCAAGAAATGCACTCAAAACCATACAGTTACATTGAAATTG
This sequence comes from Homo sapiens, assembly GCF_000001405.40. Taxonomy (NCBI): domain Eukaryota; kingdom Metazoa; phylum Chordata; class Mammalia; order Primates; family Hominidae; genus Homo; species Homo sapiens. Next base: position 117,105,878 of record NC_000002.12, on the reverse strand, counting down.
AATAACCTGTTCCTGAATGACTGTTGGGTAAATAATAAAATTGAGGCAGAAATCAAGAAGTTCTTTGAAACTAATGAAAACAAAGGTACAATGTACCAGAATCTCTAGGACACAACTAAGGCAGTTTTGAGAAGGAAAAGTATAGTGCTAAATGCTCACATGAAAAGTTAGAAAGATCTCAAGTTAACAACCTAACATCACAACTAGAAGAACTAGAGATCCAAGAGCAAACCAATTCCAAAACTAGGAGAAGACAAGAAGTAACCAAAATTAGAGCTGAACAGAAGGAGATAGAGACACCAAAAACCATTCAAAATATCAAAAAATCCAGTAGCTGGTTTTTGAAAAAAGTAATCCAATAGATAGACCTCCAGCTAGACTAATCAAGAAGAAAACAGAGAAGATTCAAACAAACAAAATCAGAAATGACAAAGGCGGATATTACCACTGACCCCACAGAAATACAAGCAGCGATCAAGGGATATTATTAATGCCTCTATGCACATAAACTAGAAAATCTCAAAAAAAATGAATACATTCCTGAACATATACACTCTCCCAGTACTAAATCAGAAAGAAATCAAATCCCTGAATAGACCAATAACAATCTCTGAAATTGAAGCAGTAATAAATAGCCTAACAACAACACCGACACAACCCAAGACCAGACGGATTCATAGCTGAATTCTACCAGATACACAAAGAAGAGCTGGCAGTATTTCTGCTGAAACTATTCCAAAAACACAAAAAAGAGAGACTCCTTCCCAATTCATTCCAGAGGCCAGCATCATCCCGATACCAAAACCTGGTAGAGATGCAACAAAAAAGAAAAACTTCAGGTCAATATCCTTGATGAACATTGATGGAAAAATCCTCAAAAAAATACTGGCAAACCAAGTCTAGCAGCACTTCAAAAAGCTTACCAACCATGATCAAGTAGGCCTTAACCTTGAATACTTGAATCAGTAAGTGTGATTCTTCACATAAACAGAGCTAAAGACAAAAATCACATAATTATCTCAATAGATACAGAAAAGGCTTTTGATAAAATTTCACATCTTTTTATGTTAAAAACTCTCAATAAACTAAGTAGTGAAAGAACGTACCTCAAAATAATAAGAGCCATCTATGCAAACCCACAACCAATATCACACTGAATAGGCAAAAGCTGAAAGCATTCCCTTTGAAAGCCAGCACAAAATAAGGATGCTCTCTCTCACCACTCTTATTCAACATATAATTGGAAGTCCTGGCCAAGGCAATTGGACAAGAGAAAGAAATACAGTGCATCCAAATAGAAAGAGAAGAAGTCAAACTATCCCTATTTGCAGATGACATGATGTCATATCTAGAAAACCCCAAACAGCTCAAAAGTTTCTTCAGCTCATAAAAAACTTCAGCAAAGTCTCAGGATACACAATGTGCAAAAATCACTAACATTCCTATACACTTACAATAGACAAGCCTAGAGCAAATCAAGAACACAATCTCATTCACAATTGCCACAAAAAGAATAAAATATCTAGGAATCCAGCTAACTTGGGAGATCAAAGGTCTATACAATGAGAATTACAAAACGCTGCTCAAAGAAATCGGAGACGACACAAACAAATGAAAAAACAACCTATGTTCACAGATAGAAAAAATCAATATCATTAAAATGGCTCTTCTCCTCAAAGCAATTTATAGATTCAATGCTATTCCTATCAAACTACCAATGACATTCTTCACAGAACTAGAAAAAAACTATTTTAAAACTCATATGGAACCAAAAAAGAAATGGAATAGCCAAGGCTGTTCTAAGCAAAAAGAAGAAAGCTGTAGGCATCATGCTTGTACTAAACTAACCAAAACAGCATGACACTGATATAAAAACAGACACATACACCAGTGGAACAGCAGAGAGCTCAGAAATAAGGCCAAACACCTACCACCGTCTGATCTTCAATAAAGCTGACAAAAACAAGCAATGTGGAAACGAGTCGCTATTCAACAAATGGCGCAGGGATAGCTGGCTAGCCATATCCAGAAGATTGAAACTGGACCTCTTTCTGGCACCATATACAAAAATTAACTCAAGATTGATTAAAGACTTAAAGGTAAAACCTGAAAGTATAAAAACCCTGAAAGACAACCTAGGCAATACCACTCTGGACTTGGGAATGGGCAATGATTTCATGGCACAGACACCAAAAGCAACCAAACAAAAGCAAAAACTGACAAATGGGATCTAGATCTAGTTAACAGCTTCTGTACTGCAAGAGAAACTATCAACAGAGTATACAGACAAAAGAATAAAAGAAAAATTTAGCAAACTATGCATCTAACAAAGGTCTAATATCCAGCATCCATAAGGAACTTAAACAAATTTACAAAAAATTAAAAATCCAAACAATCTTATTAAAAAGTGAGGAAAGGACTAGGCACAGTGTCTCATGCCTGTAGTCCCAACACTTTGGGAGACTGAGGCAGGCAGATTGCTTGAGCTCAGGAGTTCAAGACCAGCCTCGGCAACATGATAACATCTCAACTCTACCAAAAATACAAAAAATTAGCCAGGTATGGTGGTGCACACCTGTAGTCCTGGCTATACTCAGGAGGCTGAGGTGGGAGGATTGCTTGAGCCTGGGAGGCTGCAGTGAGTCAAGACTGCACCTCTGCACTCCAGCCTGGGTGACAGAGCAAGATTCTGTCTCAAAAAAGAACATGAACAAACACTTTTCAAAGAAGACATACATGTGGCCAGCAAGCATATTTTATAAACCTCAATATCACTGATAATTAGAGAAATGCAAATCAGAACTGCAATGAGATACCATCTCACACCTGTCAGAATGACTAGTATTAAAAAGTTAAAAAATACCAGATGCTGGTGAGGTTGTGGAGCAAAGGGAGCACTTATACACTGTTTTTAGAAGTGTAAATTAATTCAACCATTGTGGAAAGCAGTATGACTTTTCTTTAAAGAACTGAAAGCAGAACTACCATTTGACCCAGCAATTCCATTACTGAGTTTATACCCAGAGGACAATAAGTAGTTCTTCCATAGAGACACATGAACAGGAATGTTCATTGCAACACTATTCAAAATAGCAATGACTTAGAATCAACCTAAATGCCCATCAGTAACAGACTGGATAAAGAAAAGGTGGTATATAGACACCATGGAATACTTTGCAGCCATAAAAAAGAATGAGATTATGTCTTTTGTGGGAACATAAATGGATCTGGAGGTCATTATCCTTAGCAAACTAACACAGGAACAGAAAACCAAATACTGCATGTTCTCACGTGTAAGAGGGAGCTAAGTGATGAGCACCCATGAACACCGAGAAAGTAACAACAGACACTGGGGCCTCCTTGAGGGTTAGAGGAAGGAACTGCACAGAAAAAGTAACTATTGGGCAGTACTAGGCTTAATACCTGGATGACAAAATAATCTGCAACAAAATCCCAAGACACGAGCTTCCCTGTAAAACAAACCTGCACATGTATCCCCAAACCCAAAATAAAAGTTAAAAAAAAGCTTTCCAAATCATAAAATAAAAGTGTAATAGGAAAAAAAATATAACAGTACCACATAAAATTATCTGTTGTCCAACATTCCTGATTATTTTTCTAACCCACATCTTCATGAATGTATGCTACAGTGATCATATTAAAGCGTTGAGGAAGACTGACACCGCTGGTGTGTATAACAATGACTTTAAGGAACTGAGTTGACTCCAAGATCACAAAAATATGCTCAGATACTTTTTTTGTTAAATGTTATTTGTGGTTATATGATTCCTTGAAAGTTTTTGATCATGTAAGGCATAAATCGCACATTTTTATCAGCCCAAATCTTTTATTAGTTAGAACGTGCCTTTCATTGTATTAAATAAATATACATTATTGATGACTACTGATTCAAACTCTATATAGGTTCTTGATTCCAAACATATATACGCATGGCTAGTTACCTATTTAGTTAGTTTGTTAATCAATGAAGTCCAATTTCCTTTACCTCATTAATGTCTATTTCCCCTCCATTATATATTTTCACTTTGTAAATTAAATGCTGATAAAGCCTTTCTGTAATCATTTTCTTTATTTTTTATTTTTTAAATTTTTGCTTTATGGTAGCTCAGAAACTTGCTTCTCACTATTAGTACTGATGTTTTGCTGTTTTTGATCTTTTCTTAATGATGTCTTTTGTAATTTGGAGCTTGTATCTCTAATCTGTAATTCATGTATTCCCAAATTAGATTATAAATTCCCTGCACACTGGACCTTTTTCTCTTTCGTATTTATACTCTGCAAAAGCTAGTGTCAACATTACCTCAACATTAGATGTTGACAAATAATATAATTACACAAAATTATTTTGCATTAAAACTTGACTCGAAAAACTAATCCCAATTGATTACAATTTAAAAATATTAGAATGAGTCTATTTATACATGTGCTGCTAAATTGAATATTATACAAAATGGATTTAAATATATGTACATATTTGTTTGCAAATTGCATAGAATCACACAGTTTGAATGTTATTTGTGGGTGTTGATATCAGTCTTTGGACATCCATATGTTCTTTTTTATGATGATAATCTTTTATGACTTTTGAAGTTCATATCCAAGCCAGTTAAATTTTTTGAAGTGAAACAGATGGGTGCTAACTTACTACAATTGTTCTTTTGGAATTAAAATATGATGACTTTTAAGAGATACAAACACTTATTCTGCTGAGAATACTTTTTCACTGAGAAATTTCACTCAAGAGCAGTGACCTTTAATTGATGTCTATAGCATCTATAAATATAAATCTCTTTTATTACTAGTATCAGTCCAAAAAAGGGCAAAACAGCTATACCAAAGAAAGGGAATAAACTATTTTAAAAGCTTTCTATTCTTTTTTCCTCTATAATAGATACCATCAAGATGCTGTTAATGTTTTTAAATTTCTTTTTTTTAGAAATGATTCTCATGTAATTCATGATCACACTGTCTTCCTGAATGCCCTATAATTGGCGCCCAGCTTTTCCAGTTTGTATGCATCTCATTCAGAATTTTGTGACTTCCATCACTTTTCCGAGAGGTAGCCCAGAGTGCTTTGGATGATGTATGGCTGCTCCTCACTGTGGCTGGGACAGAATGCTGCCACTGGAGTGGCTATCACCTTGGAATGAGCCTTTGTTTGCCATCCCTCACTTGGGTTTTCACAGACCATGACCATCATTGCTAGCTCCCACACACTTGCTTTGGTGGGCTTCCTTCTGACACTTGAAGGCTTGTATGCTCTCAGATCTGTGCCATGCCAGAGATCCAGAGAACTTATAAGTCATTTCTTAAGTCCTCCCAGTTGAGATTAATGTGAATACGTTAACAGTTTGGGGGTGAGGTCTGGCAATTAGAAGTTTTTAAAAGCCTGGCCTATGATATGTCCTTGCTGTTATTGTTATTAATTTATGTGGTTTTGTCAGATTTTGGTCTATTTGCTGAATTTCCCTACCTTCCACATCCTTCAAAACTTAAGAAACAAATAAAAATAAGCATAAATAGCCTTTATCATTAACATTAGTTTTCAGTTAGTATTAATAGAAAACAAACTAAAGTTATCAAAGTGTCTTTTACACTACAGCCTCTTCAAATATGAACATACTTGTTTGAAAGCAATATTGAAATTAAAAAATTTTCTATGGATTGAATTTTTAAAAAATTATACCTAGATATTTATGTTATAGATTATTGCCATAAAGCTTTTGACTTGCAAACAGATTATAAAGCAAAGGTGAAAAAGTTTTTGTCTGTAGCATTTATAAAGCTAACCTCTATAGCACTTTCTAATTTAAGGGTTAACAGCCTTTTTTAAAAAAAAATCTAACTTGTACACTATTATGTCTACGTTAATCTACCTAATTAGTAGATATGTCCTAGTACCTCTGTTCCAAAGAAATGTTGATTATAATAAAATTATAAGGCAAGGTCTCATTTGGTTTTAATATACACACTTGTTTGGGAGTTCCAGTATTATTCTAGGTACGTAGGCTTCCTTGGCTACAATCTTCAAAGTCCCATTGGGATGATCATTGTGGAGGGATTTGGGCTGGAAGGAGGTAATGTTCAGAGGGGCAGCAAATCTTCTCTTGACCAGTGGGCAGAACTGTGGGGTAAGAACTACGTTTTGATCACTGAGGGTAAAACATGCAGATTGACCAAGAAAGTAAGGACACAATGCAGGTGATTAGCTTCCCTAATTCACAATTTTGAAATCCCAAATCCTCCAAAATGCAAAAATTTTTGGAAGTTGACATGATGCCCCAGGTGGAAAAATCCATATCTGACCTCACATGACAGGTCATGGTCAAAACGCAGTCAAACTGTGTTTTATGCCCAAATTATTAAGACTATTGAATAAAATTATTTTCAGAATATGTGTAAAATATGTATATGCAACGTAAATTTTATGTTTACACTTGGATCCAATCCCCAACATATCTTATTATGTATATGCAAATATTCTAAAATCCAAAAATAACTGAAATCGGAAACACTTCTGCTTCCATTCATTTCAGATTAGGTATACTCAGCCTTAAGATCAGAGGATCCTCTGGATATTGGGTTGTTGGAGGATGGTAGAATAAATGGAAAGCTTAGAGAATCTGATAGCTATATGGAATCAGGACTCAGAAATGCTATATGGATACCTAAATGCTCAAGGGATGCCTAATGGAGTGTGAAGCATGTAAGCTGGACCAGTCTAGAGGTGGAGTATCTGTGTATTAGCTGGTGTTCTTTACAGAAAAGAAAAAAAATCTGCATATCTCTGTGTATCTATTTTCATATCTAACCTATCATCGATCTACATTTATATATACAACTACATAAGTATGTATTTACATATAAATTTATATATACATATATAATATATAAATACATAACATATGTATTATATATGTATACATAATTATATTTATAAATATATTTTATATTATATATTAGTATATATAAAATATATGTAATATATAAGATATATAAACATATATGTAATATATAATATATGTAATATATAAAAATATATATTTAAAGAGAGAGAAAGAGGGAGAGGGATATTGTTAAGCAATTGGCTCACATGACTGTGGCGTCTAGAAAGTCTAAAATCTGCAATGCTATCCCAAGGCAGAATATCTTCTTTCTTGGGGTACCTCAGTCTTTTTATTCTCTTATGGACTATAACTGATTGAATGAAGCCCAAGCACGTTATAAAGGGAATCTGTTTTAACTCAGTCTACTGATTTAAATGTTACTCACATCTAAAAAACACCTTCACAGAAACATGTGGACTGCTGTTTGACCAAACAGCTGGGCACCAAAAGCTAGCCAAGATGTCACAAAAAAATTAATCATCACAGCCCGACTCACCAAATATACTCAGAGAAAAGGACGGCAAGAACTTTCAGGCAGGCTCAAAGAACATCTGGAGCCATGGATTCCACGGGCCTTGACACGCCATGTAATCCAAGTATAAAATTCCCATGCTGGCCTTCCTTGGGGCATAGAGTTACAAGCATTGGTGCAATTTTTCACTCCATTCCAAGTCCTCAGTTTCCCTCCAGGTTAGAGCTCACCAATTAATCCTGGAATTTGACTGAAGGTTTTAAAGAATCAACTTTAGCCGATAAATGGTCAATTAAACTTCTGATCCTGGGAGCATAATAAATGTATTTACCTTATTTGGAAGCCCTTAGAAAATTTTACATTCTAGCAAAAACTTGGCTTTGAGTAATCAGGATAATTGTCTCCACTCTTCACTTCCCTGGGCCTTTATAAACAGAGATTGAATATGCAAACTGTGGTTGTATTTTAAAATCATTAATATTTCATTTAACTGTGAGCACCTGAGTACAAGAACTACTGAAAAATGCTCTATGGTTCTTAATATAAATGTTTATTGATATTCAGTGTTTATGCAGAATTATACTAAATTTTGATTGCAGTCTTCACTCTCTGTAACACCTTCATAGCTAGAGAAACTTAATTGAAAATCAAAGATAAAAAGAAAAGTGGAGCCACACATTTAAAAGACAGAATATAAAGTTGAAATTAGGCATTAGATAAAAAGGTTGTAAATGGCATGAAGGTGGCATAAATATTTTGTGGGAAACTGTCAAAAGTTTGTCACCAGTGTGAAAATTGGAAGCATTTTAATTAGCTCGGACTTACGTGGTTCTGATAGAATGTATCAGTTAATTAGCAATTTTATAGCCTTTGGGGCAATGATTAAGTTCAATGTTCTTTTGAGGTCCACGTGTTCTGTTAAATAAATCCATTTTGTGTTGTCCATGGATTTGAATTGGTCAGAAGAAAAAGATCTATTTAGTTTGATTTATCCTACAAGGTGAAAGGGCTCTCAGTGATTCTGACTAGTAGAATAACCTAAACAAAATTAAAATTTGTTCACAAATAAAATATATTTCCTACAAGTATACTTTCATAACAATGCCTTCACCCACTAAGCCCTTCTGACCTGATCCTGGAGCAAAAATATTCTCACTTTCCATTGCTTATTTTTTTTTAAGATACTAATTTCAACACAGCTTAAAAACTTTCCAAGACTCCTTCTAAAATACAGTTGTAACTTATGTTTTATTAGCAAAACTAGTTCAAGTAATTATTCCACACTATGAGACATTATTTATTTACCATCGCTGTTCTGATTTTTTTGGTATCATGTGGCATTAACTGGAGTGTTATCTTTGTTACCACGTAACATTTAAATACTAAAAGGCAAGGCCTTTGAAATCAGCTGGGATACGTAGTGTTTCATATTTCTCTCTTTTGCTGGGTGATTATCTTGGACTAATGCAATTGAATTAGTTTGCGGGATTTTTGGAAAATCATAGTGCTATATGTGATTTGAAAAAAAGCTAATTTTTCAAACTTTTTCTTATGTTAATTTTAAAAACCAGCAGAGAACCAACTGCTGTGAAAATTAATGAAGGAGCTACACCAGTCTGTCTTTATTTTGCACTTGAACGATATTGCACTCTGAGAACATATGTGACAAACAAACTCAAATAATACAAATGATACCAAAGAAATAGTAATATATCTGCTATTTGGCTAAGCAGGCAGACTGATAATTTCGTTTTTTCTGTAGACAATTATCCCAGTTCTTCTTAAATATTTTTTTTAAAGTTGCTGATCCTAGCAAGTAGTAGTGTTTGAATGTTGCTATGAGATTCTATTGCATTACATTTAAAGTAATTGTACATGTTATTTCTCTTGCATCATGCTATTCAACACATTCAAAGAGATCTGTGAAACTCTAAGTTCTGAAATTCCACAGCTGCATTACACTGCATAAAATCATGCAAAAGGAAGGGATGTGGAGTTCGTCCTTTCGGCATTCAAATCTTGGCCTTGACCTGCCATTTCTCAGCTTGAGAAATTTTAGTGGCTAAATCTCTTTCCTCATTTGTAAAATGAAGGTAATGGCTCTAATCACATGCACTGGATTCAGATGAGGAGTAAAAATAGTATGCTTTAAGGATCCAGTCCATAGGATACACTCAATAAATAGTAGTTACAATAACATTAATCATCAACACTATAATTTTACAGTAAAGACAAATCATAGAAAAAAAGTACACACTCTTTCTATGGTATCCTAAAACTCAGTGCAAAGCATGTACAGATTTGTACACAATGAACGGACCAATGACTCCAGATATGTCATTCAAGTAGTTTTGCTACAAATGATCTCTAGTCTTAATGAAAAAGAAAAAGAAAATACAGGATATTTGACATGAACACCATGAAAGTATGATTTCATTTTGATATTTTGATCCCAGGATTTAATTTTAGAAGTTAAAATTAATTTTTTTCTTTACTGACCCAGAAAAAGAGCTTTCTCTTAGGGCAATATATGTGCAAGCTAAAAACATTCCAGAGGAATAAAACAAATTATTGTCTGAGCACACTTTTGGTGAGACTTTTTTTTCCCCCTTCTGAAGTAACGCATATTGGGCTGGATAACTCTGAAATACATTAATATAGTAACAGTTAAAAAACTGAGTAACTGGCCGGGCGCGGTGGCTCACGCCTGTAATCCCAGCACTTTGGGAGGCCGAGGCGGGCGGATCACGAGGTCAGGAGATCGAGACCACGGTGAAACTCCGTCTCTACTAAAAATACCAAAAGCTGGGCATAGTGGCAGGTGCCTGTAGTCCCAGCTACTCTGGAGGCTGAGGCAGGAGAATGGCGTGAACCCGGGAGGCGGAGCTTGCAGTGAGCCGAGATTGCGCCACTGCACTCCAGCCTGGGCGACAGAGTGAGACTCCGTCTCAAAAAAAAAAAAAAACTGAGTAACTAAAGGGTGTTATTCCAACTACCTTTAAATGGCATCATATGTGTTTGTAAGTAGAATCCATTTGGCTATATTTACACTACACTACAGCCATGTAATAGAAATCTGACTTTGATATGTAACAAATCTATGTGCTTAATTAAAACACTAGCTTATGTGCAGTTAAGGGAATAATGAAAGCTAATGATGGGATTTTTGGAGATCAGAAAATAGGCAGATTCTAGATCTATAGTCTGTAGATTCTGTGTTTCCATTCTCACTCAAGCCAATGAAGTGGATGGTATGGGATGCTGAAGCCCCACAAATCTTGTAGCCATATGTGTGTGCCTCAGAGGGTTATCAATTGGCTCATATTTGTCTTCATTTCCTGATGATTTCTGAAAGCTAGCAACACTTGAGGTCATTTGTCTCATTTAATTTTCCATTCCCAGCCCAACTGCATGTGCCGGGAGACATTAAACAAGCCCTCAGAACTCATGCGCAGAGACCTTCATCTGTCTTGCTTCAGGTGTTCGTGTCTCCCACTCTGCTGTCTTCTCATTTCCACTACAAAGCCACACTTCCGTTTCTGGTTTGCCATTGCTCCAGGAACTTGCTGAATACTTCTGGTGTTAAAGAACTCTGGCCTTGGTTTCAAGTGATTCCAAACTAGGGTTTTTATTTATTTATGTATTTTTCATGAAGACAGTCACTCATCTGGCAAACCATGGAATATGTTTTCTTTTATATTCTCATTGTACCTAAATCTGCTCCTCTACTCTAGTTGTCTTTGACTCATGAGTAGTTTAAGTAACCAAGTATTGAAAAATGTGTTCCCATTTCCATAATTTTATGGGAGATGTCAACCTTCTGTTTCACTTTATGATCACCTTGAGATCAACTAGAAATATCATTATTTCAGAGCATGAATAACATAGATAATACAATATTCGGATCATGAACCTTTGATTCAGCTGCATAAGAGTCAAATCTTGCCTCTCTTCTTTATTAATTGTTTGACCTTAGCCAAACTCTCTAGGATTGAGAAAAGTGCCTTTGTCTATAAAATGGAGTAGTAATAATATCTAATTCATTGAAATGTGGTCACAAGTAGAACAGATAATTTATGTGAAGCCCTTGTTTCTTTGTCGTGGAGAAAGAGCTCAGTAAATGTTAGCTATTATTTTGATAAACATTTTGGTTTTTGTTTTTAATTTTAATCCTTCAGAAGCTTGATTATACTTTGATAAAAATTTTAACTGTAAACACTTCTATCAGTTTCTATTGCTGATAGTCATTAAAGTAATGATCTTGTCTCACTGTCACTGGTTCAATTTTCCACTAAATATGTTTAAAACAAAGAAATCCTAAAATTTATTGCTTTACATTTTCACTGTCCCTATACAACAGAAACATCTGCTCAAGAAGTACCAGTCTGTGTACTGACTATACTATTGTGTATTAATTGCAAATGTTGTTTTTTCCTCCAGAATATACTCTAGATGTCCATTTTTATAATACTTTCTTCAGATAAGTAAGTTGATTAATGCCTATTCCATCACCAACCATGTCCTGTATCCAATGGCTTTTGGTTCTTTGCACCTGCATAGCACCATGGTTCTATTTATCGTGCTTTCAGGTGCAAGACCCTAAGCACAGAAGTGTGATTCTTTGTCAATAAGTGTTTGCCCTGTAATGGCATAGAATAAAATATAGTATTATGAAACTTACGCATAATAAGAGTTAGATTGTTTGGAGATTTAAGGATATTGTTTCTTAACTTGAACATATTTCTAATACTATAATAATACGTAGAGTTAAGTTTAGTTATTGGGCCATGTAAAATGCCCGTGACCAACAAGAGTCAGAAATAATTTACTTTTTGGGGCATGAAAACTGAAGCTTTGGAAAAATAGTGACTTTCTCTAAGGCAAAGGGTTAGTAAGTGCTGTGAACAGACTAGAGTCAGGCCTTGATAATGAACTCTGGGAAGATTCTGCTGCTGTACCATGCCACTGCTGAAGTGTATTATAATGATAAACATTCTCTTCATCTTGGGATTGTTAGTGGATCCATATCAAGGATATATACCGACAAATGTCCCCACCCCATTTATTAGAAAATGGCTTGAGTTGCTCTATCCCCAAATTTTGAAAATTGTTGCTCTTCATAAAGTGGCTATGATGCATCATGAATTTAAAATGTTTTAGCTGACAACCACTGCTTCCAATAACAAATGATTAACCTGTATGATATAGCCATGCTTCTTAGTATATTACGATATAAAGCCTAAGAAAAATAAAATATAAAGCCTAAATAACCAAAATCTTTGAAATAAATAATTAGAATATAGTAAGTAAAAGCATGTACAAATATATGATTAAATTTTTACTACTTATTTGAGTTAGCTCAGACCATATTTTTGGAGTCAGCAAATATATAGTTTGGCAAAGAGGATATTTTTAGTTGAATACTAATGATTTCTTGAACAGGTTCAATTTTGAAAATTGCAGCATTGTGCTATACTTTATGCAGTAAATGAAAAGTCTATTAAGAAGAGAATTATTCTCCATGCTTGTGGTCAAGGCTTGAATGGAAGGTGGAAAAATGTAATGCTTTGAGTGGTACCATAGCTCTGCCTTAGTTTGAGAACAATTATTATTTTTCTTATGAATCTCTTCAGCATAGCTTGTATTGAGTTGGTGCAAAAATTATCACGGTTTTTTGCCATTGAAAGTAATAGCAAAAACCGTGATTACTTTTGCACCAACCTAATACAATCTTAAATATTAAGTGCTTACAATATGCTTTTCAATTGTAAAATTTACTAAAATCTTCATGTACAAAGTACGAACTGGGTGCAACATGGTCCCATCCATATGTTTATTCCACAGAGGGTATTTAGTAACTTATGTGCCCCTCCCTTCCTAGGCCTCCCCTGCCTTCAGGTGGTCTTCTGTCCAGATTTTTCAGGCTAACAATCCTCTACATTTTTGAGAGATTTTCTCTCTAAGCAGAAGTTGGTGTCACTTTGTAGCAACATTGGTCTTCAGCCTGACGTTCTCTGAGGCTCTGCTCCTCTTTGTCCTTGTTGCTTCAGTAGGCCATAAGTCATGGATCCATGAAGAAGGGGGAAATATTCAGCCAGGAGGGATATAAACTAGATTTGATGGATTGACTTTTTTCCACTGCATCGTGGCCTCTGCTGTGTTAAAAACAGGCATAAGGCCAGGCGTGGTGGCTCAGGTCTGTAATCCCAGCACTTTTGGAGGCTGAGGTGGGCGGGTCATCTGAGGTCAGGAGTTTGAAACCAGTCTGACTAACATGGTGAAACCCTATCTCTACTAAAGATACAAAATTAGCTGGGTGTGGTGGTTCATGCCTATAATCCCAGCTACTTGGGAGGCTGAGGCAGGAGAATAGCTTGAACCCAGGGGACGGAGATTGCAGTGAGCTGAGATCCTGCCATTACACTCCAGCTTGGGCAACAAGAGAGAACCTCTGTCTCAAAAAAAAGAAAAGAAAAGAAACAGAAAAGCAAGCATAAGAACCACAAACTAAGATAGCAGCCATGTACTTCCCTTTCTACCAGAAGCTTTACCTTGTCAATATCTATACTCATAATACATGGACCTCAATTAGAGGGTTAACAAAATGCCCATTCTGAGTAATTAGAAAAATAATTTCACTGGACTCAAGGTGCCATTTAAAATAAATTCTGAACTTTCTGTTAACAATGGCAGAAAAAAGTTTCCTCTCCTTTTTCTTTTCTCGACATTGTATAATACAAAAAAAAAAAATGAAGACAAGCAGGAAAAAAGAAACTTTATCTTTAAAGAAAAGTGTACACAGCCATGTCTCAGGAATCTAGTCAATAAAAAGATATTCCAAACATTATACAAATCATACCATAAACTTCTTCAGAGTGGCAGTGTATGATTCAGAGAGGCTCAAAGCCCTCTTTTATTACTTAGTAGCCATAACTTTGGGCAAGTTAGTTATTTTCTGTGCCTCAGTTTTCTCACATGTAACAGAGTATAAATACTCAGGGCACCTCATGTAGGGGTTGTGAAGAATGAGTCCTTACATGCAGGCTGCATGGAACAGTGTCTGCCACATAGTCAGACGCAAAAGTTAATAATGTGTTTTCTTCTCTCCCATAAAGAAGATGAAGCATAAGTTTTCCAAGGAACTCACAATTTGAGGAGCAAACCAATAGCTCTAGTTTAGAATAAAAAGCTTGGTGAGAGGAAGGCAGCTGTTAGGAAGTGTCTGAGCACTGTTAACTGTCAGACAGTGTCAAGCAAGACAGAGCAGGGTGAGGAAAGCTGCAGGCACATCATCTCTGTAAGATGCAAGCTGCTGGTTTGACAAAACAGAAGGAACATTTCCTTGCTGTTCTTGATGAGCAGAATCATAAAGAATAAATCACCACATAAAGTACTTTGACTAAAGAATAAGAGTAGGAGGTGGAAGGAGTCTTCACTTTGAGTATTGGAGACTTGCTGCTAGCCCAGAGTACAGTCACAGCTACCAAGACGAGTGATGATGTGAAAATCAACCATCAATAGACCAACACTTAAGCTCCTGTGACCAATAATTTAGTCCACACTATTTTCTTAACTATCAAGCAGTAGAAAATACCTCCAGTTAATGATTAATAATAAAAAACAGATCATAGCAATTTTTAATGATATCCAAAAATAAAACAACCCAGATGCCCATCAATAACACAATGAATAAACAAATTTTCATGTATCCATGCAATAAAACACAACTCATCAACAAAAATGAGTAAACTACTAATGCATGCAACAAAGATGAATTAAACAGACTCACAAGAGAATATGTTTTATAATTCCATTTTTATGAAGTTCAAGAACAAGTTAAACTAATCTGTGGTGTATTAAATTAAAACAGTGTTTTCTTCTAGGAAGAAGCTGGAGATTGACTATGAAAGGACAACATAGAAGTTTCTGAGATGATGGAAATGTTTTGCATCTTGATAGGAGCTTAGTTCATGGATGCATGCATTTATCAAGATTAATCACGTTATAACTTTTATATAACTCTTAAGATCTTTAATTTGTATGGTATGCATTGGTACTTAAGTTAAAGTATTAAAGAGAGAAGTCAAAATATTTAATAGTTTATAAACAACACACCGATAAGAAAAAAGCTACCTGAAATATCACAGCCAGACACAAAACGTATATCAGAAAATGTACACTAAGAAAAGTAAATAAGCTTTATAATATTTGGATTAAGATTTTTTTTTCCAATGATCAAGTAAAATTATAAAAAGATTTTCAGCTGTGCACGGTGGCTCAGGCCTGTAATCCCAGCACTTTGGGAGGCCGAGGTGGGTGGATCGCGAGGTCAGGAGATCGAGACCATCCTGGTTAACACGGTGAAACCCCGTCTCTACTAAAAATACAAAAAATTAGCCGGGCAGGGTGGCAGGCACCTGTAGTCCCAGCTACTTGGGAGTCTGAGGCAGGAGAATGGTGTGAACCCAGGAGGCAGAAATTGCAGTGAGCCGAGATTGCACCACTGCACTCCAGCCTGGGCGACAGAGCTAGACTCCGTCTCAAAAAAAAAAAAAAAAAGATTTTCCCAAAATGAAAAGATAGAGAAAAATTGACCTCTTTAACGTAGGAAGTCAAGGAAGAGGTGCAATATCTCAAAGGAGAAATTACAATATTGTTGGAAAAGGAAGAGTAAACTGGATGAGATTAGGAAAATAAATATATTAGGAGATTAATATGAGATGAGGCAAATAAAATATATTATTTCAGAAACATGTCTGCAGACATGATCAGAGAAATGGAGGACAGACTTGTGCAAATGAATAAATGAAATAGATATTAAAGAATGATGGAGTAGGGGGGCCATGAGAGAGCTTAATTGGTACTCCTAAAAAAGAGAACACAACAACAAGATAGAGAAAATGTTCAAAGACATATATGAGAAGCGCTTTCTAGAAGTTAATGAAGGCCTGAACTTACAGATTGAAAGAGCAAACTCTATTTATGTTAGGAAAATAATAATAATAGTAATAGAGTATGAAAAATACAAGGGCATCTCAAAATAAAGTTATTTTCATAAAGTATAAAAATAAAACTCTATAGCCATCAAGACAAAAATAAAATCAAGTGCTATAATTGAGGAAGAGCATGAAAACCTTATATTTCTTCAAAGAAACATACAATGCAAATAAACAAAGATAGTATCCAAATAGTCATCAGAGAAAGAATGCATTTCCCAAGATTTTATATCTATACATGTTTTAAAAATGAAGTAACTTAGAACTATTATCCAAACATATATAACATTAGGGAATATCAATTCCATGAGTTCTAATCTCATACCAGAAGATGACATTATGTTCCCCATCAGCAGTCAACTTACCTTTGCTATTATCTTCCTCTTATATCTCCCTCAAGTCGTCTAAATGCTGAAATTTCGCAAACAGAATTTGACCCATTTGTACTGCATCTTCTTACCTCCTAACTAAATGCAAATATTTCCCAAACAACTCCCAAACCCTAGTAAAATAAGTCTAATAAATCTATTACTAATGAAAGATGTTGAAAGGAGAAAGAGGAAGAATAACTTGAGACAATGGGACTTCTCAAATGAAAGGGAACAGCTGGACATGGTGACTTACATCTGAAATCCCAGTGACTCCAGAGGCTGAGGTTGGTGGGTCACTTGAGGTCAGGGTTCAAGACCATCCTGGGTTAACATAGCAAGACTATGTCTCTAAAATAATTAGCCAGGCATGGTGGCACACACCTTTAGTCCCAGCTATGCAGGAGGCTGAGGTGAGGGAATCTCTTGAGCCCAGGAGCTCCAGGCGGCAGTGAGCTATGATGTTGCCACTGCACTCCAGACTGGGCAACAGAGTGAGATCTTGTCTCTAAAACAATAATCCTATAACTAAAATAAAATGAGAGGAGGAAATAGCAATGAAAAACATTACAGAGAGAGGCCAGTGGTATCAAGGTGAATTTTTCCCCTTCACATTTATTCTATGTAAAGCCATAATTTTCATAGCACTCTTGAAAAAAATCTGAGGCCTTCCCATGAATGATGTTACATAACTAGGTGGGCTTACAACTGGAACTGAAACTCAGCATTGCTTTGTCTAGTGCACAGTATAATGTTGTTAAGTCTGTGGCTTTGAATCTTGTAACATGCAATTCCATTGGCTGAAAAGAGGCAAAAACATAAGATACATTAAATGCAGCTTTCCACTGCATAAGCAGCCACCCACACCTCTTAGAACTCATGCTCTACCCTGGAGCAGAGGTCCCTTGTCCCTGATTTCAACATAGCTGGAATGGGCAATTCCTTCACATGGCTATGTTCTCTCTGCTTTCTCAGAAGCCACGGGAGGCACATCAGCCCGAACGCAGGTACAGCCTATAAGAATTCAAGAAAGAGGAGAGAAACATGAAGGGTGGCGTTTCGGTCAGCAAGGACAGGTTTATTTTAAATAAACCTGGGGCGGCTGGCTGAGTTAGCTCAGAGCCACACTCGCTTACAGGCTAAGAGTTTTTAAGGATTTAGGGTAGGGAAGTTTATTAGAGGCTTGGACTTCTTCTGTGTCTCTTTGTTGTGCTTATCTGAGAGGGAGAGTTGTGTGTCTGTTCCCATAAATCTTTCTGCAGCTGCAGGCATATCCCCCAAGTCTGCTTTTAGCTTCCCTATCTTAGTGCATCTGAAGAGAAAGGAATGTGCTTATTAAAGCCCGCTGTTTTACTGGGGCCCATTGTGTGAGGGTGAAGTTTGGCAGTTACCCAAGAGACTTTCCCCCTACTTCCCGCTGTGCCTGGGCTGTCTTACCTTTGTTTTACTGTCTGCTCTTTCTGTCTGCTTGTTAGAATAGAAATGATCTCCTTGTAATGCATGAGGCTAGAAAGGGAACTGGAACCTAAAGTGGTGGTGTTTGTCCCAGATGACAGTGCTCCTGCTCTGTCACAGCCCAGGAGGGTTGGGGAGTCAGCATGATGAGGGATGTCCCGCTACCAGATATGAACTCAGCCTTCCTTATTTCAGTGGTAAGTTTCTCAGGGTCTCCTTTGCTCTTGAATTCCAGTAGCCCACAGTGAAAACGAAATAATGAGATATTTATTGGATTTTCTCCTTTCTCTTTCTTTCTCCCATCCCTCACTTATGCATCCTAAAATCACCTCCAAATAAGCTACCAACAGGATAATTCTTGCTTCAGGGGAACTGAAATTAAAATATACGCTTTCAGGATCTATGAGTTAGGTGGTCCTGGGAGCAGTGAGTCAAAACCAGGAATATAATATTATCACTTAACGACTGGACTTACCTACAGGTCTTAAGTGACGTGAACGCCATGAGGAAGGATCAAGTCACTGGAAGAATCCCAGTGAGGCAGCTATTCCTCTTGTGTTAGATTAAAGATGACTTTCCAGCTTAAATAAAACATGAAGTAACCTCTAAGTAGATTAGAAAATGAAAGAATATAAATGCCTCCAGTTTTCCAGGAAATGCTGCAGTATAGTCAGAATGACAAGGCAAGCTCTGACATTAGCCCTGGTCCCTTCCCGCAGAGAGGGGGCATAATATACTGGATTGCATAAAACATCTTCTCTGTTTGAAGCAATGGAATGATTGCTAATGGTGACTGCTTTCTGAAACAACAAATTAATGAGATTCCATTTAAAATTCTTTCCCCAAATGCCTTCAGTTTATTTTCTCATTAAGCAAAGGTCTTGGGGTGGCAGCTGTGACTTTGTTGGGTTAATGATAGTGGAACATGAAAAAAGCATCCAGACTTTGAGGGGATGAAAGGATGGACACCTGGGAGATACAATTGTAGATGAACAATCCTTTTTGATGATCTGTCCACCCAGGAAAGTGCAAAAACTGATTTATTTCCAGTAAAATAGCTTTTTAACTTTTACTTTATGTTTTTTTCTAGGTTTTTTTTTTTTTTTTTTTTCTGATCTATGCAGCGCTCACTCCCCAAGGAAAAGTTTAGTTCAGGCATTCACACCCCGATCTTTTATGGAGGAAGTGTAAAGGGTTTTGATTGAACTATGAGGGCAGCCAGGTTCCTTCATTATCATGCCAGCAGGTCTTCAGGGATGCATAGGCGGTGGTTCATCTTGATTCAAGGGACTTTTCACAGAAAACAGAAGCCTGTTTTAAAAGTATGATGACCTCACTCAGGGCTCACTGACTTCTCCCATCCACCCTGCCAGAACCATCAGGGTCAGAACAAAAGCAAAGCAGCTCCAAGTGGAGTGGGTGTGCAGCATTTGCATTTCCATGAGATGGAGAGACCATACTTTCCCATGTTCTTAATGCCAAAAACTACCTTTGTACAATACCTTAATTTATGGTACATTTTCCTATTCATATAGAGTAGAAATGAAAATTACTTCTTGTTAGCAATGAAGACTTGGGGGCTTAAAAGTTAAATAGCAAGAGTAAAATCTCAGCATTAATAAGGGGAAAGCTGGGATTTGAACTCATGTTATCTGACTTTAGAAATCAATTTTCTTTGCCACATGGTGCCTATAAAAGGGCTTTGTTTTATAGATTTTCAACAAATTTGAATTGTCTGATGAATCATCTCCAATCTCTTCTATGACTCATCATTTTCTCATTAAGTTTGCAAAAGGAAAATGAACAGTAGGGAAAAAATATCTGTACCAGAAACAGCGTCTAAGTTTGAAAAAGAAGGTTAAAAATATATCCTGTATTTCTAATGAAAATTTATACAATGTGAACATCATTGCTAGCTGTCAATGAACACAATTTGAAGAATAGGGCAAGTTATTTGCAATACATTTATTTAAAGTGTTTAAATATCTTTTATAATAGAACTTATAATCATTTATTGAATAGAACTACTTTGAACTATTTTAATAAATATTATTTGGAGATTGATATGGTTTGGCTCAGTGTTCCTACCCAAATCTCATCTAGAATTAGGATCCCCATAATCCCCATGGGTCGAGGAAGGAACCTGGCTGGAGATGATTGGATCGTGGGGGTGGTTCCCCCATGCTGTTCTAGTGATATTGAGTGAATTCTCAAGAGGTCTGATGGGTTTGTAAGTGTCTGACAGCTCCTCCTTCACATGCTCTCTCTTTCTCTATTGCCAGCTTGTGAGAAAGGTGCCTGCTTCCCGTTTCACCACAACTGTAAGTTTCCTGAGGCCTCCCCAGCCATGCAAAACTGTGAATCAATTAAACCTGTTTCCTTTATAAATTACCCAGTCTCAGGGAAGTTCTTTATAGCAGTGCAAAAATGAACTAATACAGAGATTTTTGAAAATTCTGAAAATGAGAGTTTTCCCTCCCATCTGTAAGCCCATTTTACCTAGGATGGTATTGGGTATGTAATAATTATTGAATAAATACTTGCAAATTGATTGTAAGTCATTGAAATGTAGGATCAATGGTATATGTGGTAGATGAAATGATATATGTCAGGAAACTATACTGCTTATTGTGTCAGTAGATAACTGAATAGGAAATGTGTTACATATTAACGGTGTTTTGCTATTATAAAAAATGGAGACTACCTCTTCTACTTCTTTAATAATTAAAGTACTCAAGTGGCAACAGGATGGATTAATAAGATCTAGCTAAGAAACCTCAAACTCTGGGTTGAAATACAATGA
This sequence comes from Homo sapiens, assembly GCF_000001405.40. Taxonomy (NCBI): domain Eukaryota; kingdom Metazoa; phylum Chordata; class Mammalia; order Primates; family Hominidae; genus Homo; species Homo sapiens. The sequence goes on along the minus strand of NC_000002.12, from coordinate 117,084,876 downwards.
AAAGTAGTAAAATTCCCCTAAAAGAAGATGAAGATGAGAAGTATATCTTTTTTGAATTGTTTGGGAACAATAGCCAAAAAATGTCCTAAGCTAAAATTTTTGGTTGACTACAGTTTAGTAAGAGTTTACTACTTCTTAGTTGGTCAACTCCACCCTGTTTTGTGTCTTGAAGTCTGTGTGGTCTGTAACAAGGAGCCTCTTTGCCTTCTGATGTTTGACTGATGTGATCTAATGGGAGGTACTTGCTGGAGGTTTAAGGGTAGGAGAAAATTATGCACAGCTATTCCCCTAGCTTCCTTCTGCAAGGTGATCTGCTTCCCTTTCCTGAGGGCTACAGCTCCTCCAAGGTCTCTCTTCATCCTCTGTTGCCCTAGGGAGTGAGTGCCCTGCAGTAGTATTAGTCTGCTGATTTAGGGAAAGAAAGGAATTAGGAAAAGAAAGGAAGTAGCTTCTAACCCACTTCCTTTACTTTCATGATAAAATGTTCCTTGGAAAAATAATAAAGGCAGGAGACCTAGTCTATTCCACAGGTAAACATGATAATCAACCTTCTAGCAACTAGACTAAGGGTATGGAATGCTTTAAGTATGATTATTTAGGATTACTTTAGGTGAAGAAACCAATAATCTACAGATGTATTGTCCAGGGACATAGTTCCCTTGAAAAATAGTAGAAATTATGTAATTATCTGTGCAGAAAATAAAGATGTTTAGATGTTCCTTGCTGTCTGAGAAGGTACTTTACTTAAAAACATCGTCTTTCAACCTGGACCAGGTAAGGATCTAAGACAACAGAGTTGATACCCAGGATCACTTTTTCTTTCCCATACCTCCTCAGTGCCTGAATCTTTATGTGATCTCTGATTAATATAAGTGTAGTTTCACCATCTTTTCTTTGTGTCATCTCAGCTTTTCTAAATCCTATTAAATGTTCCTTAATTAAACTCTTGCAAATATCCGGTTTGAATATGCCATGGCTTCCTAGCTGGTATCCAGACTAAAATGGTATTATTGCTTTTCAGCATTTTAAAAATATTGATGTTAATTGTTTTGTTTGTTAACTGGAAATGACATAATGTAGCAATGCAAGCACCTAGCTTGTTTCAGCAGTAAGGCAACCAATCAACCAATATTTTATGTGTAAAACTAACATACAAGACTATTTCCTTAATTCTGTGGTCACTAATAAAATGGATCTTGTGTCTGTCCTCTTCAGGAAACAAGACACACAGATTAAATAAAAAGGTAAGTAGTAGTACAAAAATACATGCTATGGTACAAATGATCATGGGAATTGACAGGATGTCCCATTTAAAAAATTATGAGTAATAGTTTTTGCATGTATATTACACATTTTTTTGTCCATTCATCAATTGATGATCATTTAGGTTGTTTCCATATCTTGGCTATTGTGAATCATGCTGCAATGAACATGAGAGTGCAGCTCTCCCTTTGCAATATTGATTTCAAGTATTTTAGATATATATCTAGAAGAGGGATTGCTGGGTCATATGGTAGCTCTATTTTAATTTTTTTGAAGAAGCTCCACTCTGTTTTTCATAGCGGCTACACCATTTTTACATTCCCACCCATTGTAATATTGATGAACCTGAAGGAAATTATAATAAATAAAACAAGCCTATCACAGAAGGAGAAATACTGCATTCACCCATTTATATGAGGTATTGAAAAAAAATGAACTCATAGAAGCACAGAATAAAATGCTGGTTGCCAGAATAAAATGCTAGCTAAAGAGAGGGGAAAATACAGAGTTGTTACTCAATGAGCATAAAGTTTCAAATATGCAAGATAAGTTCTAGAGATCTTCTCTACAAACAGTGCCTAAAGTTAACAATATTGTATTGTGCCTTAAACATTTTGTTAAGATAGTGTATTTCATATTAAGTGTTCTCACAAGAAAAACAAATATAAAAAAAGGGGGGCATTAGAAACTTTTGGGAATAATGGATATGTTTATTTCCTTGACTATGGTGATAGTTTCATAAGTATATGCATATGCCCAAACTCAAAAATTGTATCCGTTCAGTATGTACAGTGTTTATACATTAATTATACCTTAATAAAGCTGTTTTAAAATCATGGAGTCTAGAGTTAAACTTTTGTATGGTCAAATCTCTTTAATGTGGTCTTATTATGGAGACTGAGACAAGTTATCTACTTGTGTAAGTCCTTAACAGAAGTAATAATATTGGTCTGATAGGATTGTGGTGGGAAACAAATTTAATAATGTTTATGTAATTGACTGGAATGGCTTGGCACATCAGAGAGTCAGCATATCTTATTCCCTCCTCCCTTCTTGTCTTTCTAGAGGATACATCCTAGTGGAAATTACACAAAACAAAACTCAGTGTTTAGCTTGCGTAATTCAATTACCCTCTAGTTTTTGAGCATCAATAAAGTAGGGACATAATACTTCTGTCATTGTTGTAGATGGCAGCTATGGTTCACTTAGGAATGAGTGGCACATGCTGAAAAGAAGCCAGTATGGACACCAAGAATAAGAAAAACAGGAAGTGGCAGCACATGGGGCAGAATAGGGGTGAGAGGAGGATGGTGGAGAGGAGGCACAAGTCACATATACCACAGTGGTAAAAGGAAATAACAGGAGCAATGGGGGGAAAAGAAACCATTTGGCAGATACTTTCCTGTTCCCAGCATTAGCCAAGTGATGTGGTTAGGCTTGGTATCCCCACCCAAATCTCATCTTGAATTGTAATCCTCATAATCCCCGTGTGTCTAGGGAGAGAACTGGTGGGAGCTGACTGGATCATGGGAGCGGTTCCCCCATGCTGTTCTTGTAATAGTGAGTGTGTTCTCACATGATCTGATAGTTTTATAAGGGGCTCTTTCCCCTTTGCCCCTTTCTGCCATCACGCAAGAAGGTCCAAGCTTGCTTCCTTTTAGCCTTCAGCCATGATTGTAAGTTTCCTGAGGCCTCCCCAGCCATGTGAAACTGTGAGTCAATTAAACCTCTTTCCTTTATAAATTACCCAGTCTTGGGTATTTTTTATAGCAGTGTGAAAACGGACTAATACACCAAGACATTGCTCAGTGGCAAGGATGACAAAAAAAAAAAAAAGGTAAAAGTGTGATAGAGTCGATTAAGGTGGATGAGGGAATACAAAAATAGAAAGGTAGAGGCAAAGGGAAAATAAATAAAATTTTGGTTTGCATCTCCCATAGATTTTATAGCAGTTGACAAGATGTAAGAAATACGTGAGAAACATACATTAAGAATTATGGAATTTTAGGCTGGGCATGGTGGCTCATGCCTGTAATCCCAGCACTTTGGGAGGTCGAGGCAGGTGAATCACTTGAGCTCAGGGGTTTGAGACCAGCCTGAGCAACATGGCAAAACCCCATCTCCACCAAAAAGACAAAAAATTAGACGGGTGTAGCAGTATGTGCCTGTAGTCCCAACTACTCAGGAGACTGAGGTGGGAAGAGCTCTTCAACCTAGGAGGTTGAGGCTGCAGTGAACTTAGATTGTGTCACTGCACTCTAGCCTGAGTGACAGAGCAAGACCCTGTCTCAAAAAAAAATACATAGAATTTCAATTAGTGCAGCAGGAGAATCACCTTGACAAGGATTGGAGCCCACTGCCAGCAAAGGAGTGAATAAATCCTGAACAAATATGATGAATACTCAATGAATGTTATCTTCTTTAACTACAGTACCAAGAATTAAGAATTTTGATGTGGATCTTTAGCTTCACAGAGAAACTGGATTGATTTTGGAAACTGTATCAGGAGAAAAAGTATGAAGACTACATAGAGCACCTTATAAATGATTCTAGTGAATGCATCATGATAAAGATACATAATAATGTACAGGGTCAAAAGAATTGAAATGTATAAGCTGTTGAGACTAACCAGAAGAAAGGAAGAAATAAAGTTGAAATGAGAGGTTAAAAAGAAAATTAATGGCAATAAAATAGAGCAATACAGTCTTGGCACTACATCAGGGGTTGGCAATTTTTTTTTTTTCTATAAAAGGCCAGACAGGAAATAGTTTTAACTTTGCAGGCCATTTGATCTCTGTTGAAACTACTCTACTCTGCCCTTGTAGTGCAAAAGCAGCCATAGGCAATACGTAACAAATGAGCATGACTGTTCCAGAAAATCTTTCTTTACAAAAACAGTTGGTGGGTCTGATTTGGCTTGTGGGTGATAGTTTGCTGACTCCTGCACTATACTGTTATCTCTGATAGAGAAAAAGAGAGTGTGGCCACTAACGAAAAGGACTAAAGTATAAAGTCAGGCAGGAAGTTATGCACACAAGTAGAGGTGGGTAGGTAGGGCAGATTTGAGAAACACTTCCAATTCCAGGTGATATTCTATCTCATTTATTTTAGAAGTTTAAATAAAGGTTTCTAAAAGCTGTCCCCCCATCTAACTTAGGAAAATTACTGTGAATTTGTGGAATCATGTTTCTTACATGAGGCAAGCAGCCCCCTCCCTATGAATTCTTATGAAAACAACCTGGAGGTTTAGGATTTCTTTTTTTGTTTGTTTGATAAATAAATTTTAGTTTTTTATTTTTATTTTTTATTATACTTTAAGTTCTAGGGTACATGTGCACAACGTGCAGGTTTGTTACATATGTATACATGTGCCATGTTGGTATGCTGCACCCGTTAACTCATCATTTACATCAGGTATATCTCCTAATGCTATCCCTCCCCCCTCCCCCCACCCCATGACAGGCCGAGGTGTGTGATGTTCCCCACCCTGTGTCCAAGTGTTCTCATTGTTCAATTTCCACCTATGAGTGAGAATATGCGGTGTTTGGTTTTCTGTCCTTGCGATAGTTTGCTCAGAATGATGGTTTCCAGCTTCATCCATGTCCCTACAAAAGACACGAACTCATCCTTTTTTATGGCTGCATAGTATTCCATGGTGTATATGTGCCACATTTTCTTAATCCAGTGTGTCATTGATGGACATTTGTGTTGGTTCCAAGTCTTTGCTATTGTGAATAGTGCCGCAACAAACATAGGTGTGCATGTGTCTTTATAGCAGCATGTTTTATAATCCTTTGGGTATATACCCAGTAATGGGATGGCTGGGTCAATGGACTCTAAAAGTTTGAAATCAAGGAGGAGAGGATTAACTATGTGCCATTTGTGACTTTTTCTAGGGGTAACTAATGATATAACCTTCACAGAAAAGAACTAAAAACCCACGCTAGGTGGGCTCAAGAGAGCATCTGAATATACCATGCAGTCAGAAAATGTGCTCCAGGTGTGGAGAACAAGGACATTGCTGAGCCTTTGCAGAAATGGAATGGTGTGTAACTTTTGTAATGAGAAAGATCATAGCTATGCAAACCGTGAAAGCATGTCAGCTGGAGAAGAAGACAGCCCCATGGGGCCAGCTTCACAGGCCCAGAATGAAAGAGCTGGTCACCCCTGCCCAAGTTAATGTAGCTGTAGGAGAAGAGTGAAGCTTTAGAAAGTCATTGCCAAGAAGATATGGCAAGGAAAATTAGAAAGGTGAATTTCAGGTTGTTGATGGAATTGATTCCACAATAGCAAAATAAAGAAGCTGAGGTGAATAATACATAGAGCAAGACAAGTTAGGGGCAGGGGAGGTGGGAAGCTAGCTCCTGTTGAGGAATGAGACAAACAAGGTCTATTTTATTTTAAAAATAAGTTGTGTGAGAGCCACAGGAGATGAAAGGGAAGAAACAGAGGCAACATGAGGAAAGACGGGTCAGAAAGAAAAGGGCTACCACCTCCCATCCCCAGAATAGAGGGTTCCCCAGGAGAGCCGCAGTAAGGAGGCCCAGGAGGAAATAGCAGAGAATCTGATCTCGGAGGAAATGGAATCAAGAAGTCAAAAGGGAAAATAAAAAAGGGAGTTCAAAGAAAGTCTCCAAAGAGTATTTCAATCAACAGAAAAATGTAGGAAAGCATCACTGAAAGCAGAAATGCATACTCCTGCTAGCAGAGGAATAAAGAACTCTGAAGAAGGGACAGCCAGGAGATGGGAAGGGAATGAGTTTATTATGTTAAATTTGTGAGGAATCAGAATGCAATTTAGGTTTTGAAAGATTTGAAGGAGATTTGTTTGCTCTTTGGGAGAGAAATTATAAATAGCTCATCGTCTCATTCAATTCTGGCAGCAGTTCTCTAAAAAATATTCTACAAATGTAAGATATTGTTATACATTAAAATGTATGTCCCAAAGTACACATTTGGTGCCGAGTACTAGATTAGTCAATGTGATAGAAAAAGAGGAGTTAAGTACATATATAATGGAAAAGTAAATATATACATATATAATATGTGTATATATGTACATATATATGCAGATATGTATATATGTATGTATGATGCATTTGCACACTAGTGCAAAAGGTTAATTAGCAATTATGAGTATCTATTAGATACTCAATTCATTTAATAAAATAAGTAAACACAGGATGATGAAGAAATCAATAGTACAGATGTGTGTCTGAATCATGGTTCACATAGTTTGGCTACTAATTTACTGACATGCAGAGGTAGATATCAAAGCCATAAAACTGCTGATTTCTCACTGATGGGAATAAGAAACTGGGCTTTGAGCTTTATGACTGGCATGTTGCTATTTCCAGACAACTAAGCATCTTTTTTTGGAGAGGGGAGGCTGTGGCAACATCAGTGCTGAAACTTCTTTTTTACACATTTTAGTTGTTTTTCTTCAATTGGTTATTTAACTTCTTCACAGAGTATGCATTCATTTTACTGTCCCTAGTACCATTAGTTTCCCTGTATCTCTTTCTTATCCATCTACACAGCACAGGAGAAAATTTGGGCCCATCCTGGGAACAGAGAGCTGAAGGGATAGGATAGGATAGGATAGGATAGGATAGGATAGGATAGGATAGGATAGGATGGAATGGGATGGGATGAGAGGGGATGGGATGGGATGGGATGGGATGGGATGGGATAGGATAGGATAGGATAGGATAGGATAGGATAGGATAGGATAGGATAGAATAGAATAGGATGGAATGGGATGGGATGAGACGGGACGGGACGGGACGGGACGGGATGGGATGGGATAGGATAGGATAGGACAGGATAGGATGGAATGGGATGGGATGAGAGGGGATGGGATGGGATGGGCTAGGATAGGATAGGATAGGATAGGATAGGATAGGATAGGATAGGATAGGATAGGATGAGAGGGGATGGGATGGGATAGGATAGGATAGGATGGGATGGGATGGGATGGGATGGGATGGAATAGGATAGGATAGGATAGGATAGGATGGAATGGGGTGGGATGAGAGGGGATGGGATGGGATAAGATAGGATAGGATAGGATAGGATAGGATAGGATAGGATAGGATAGGATAGGATAGGATGAGAGGGGATGGGATGGGATAGGATGGGATGGGATGGGATGGGATGGGATGGGATGGGATGGAATAGGATAGGATAGGATAGGATAGGATAGGATAGGATAGGATAGGATAGGATAGGATAGGATAAGATAGGAAAAGAAAGAATAGGATAGGATAGGATGGGATAGTACAGGATAGGAGAGGAGAAGAGAGGATAGCATGGGGTAGGATAGGATAGGATAGCATGGGGTGGCATGGGGTGGGTTGGGATAGGAGAGGATAGGATGGGATGGGATGGGATGGGATAGGATGGGATAGGATGGGATGGGATGGGATAGGATAGGATAGGATAGGATAGGATAGGATAGGATGGGATGGGATGGGATGGGATGGGATGGGATGGGATGGGATAAGATAGGATGAAATGGGATGGGGTGGGGTGGGATGGGATAGCATAGGAAAGGGTAGGATAGGACACGATGGAATAGGACAGCATAGGATAGGATAGGATGGGATGTGGGATAGCATATGAATGGATAGAATGGAATAGGATAGGATGGAATAGGATAGCATAGGATAGGTTAGGGTAGGATAGGATATGAAGGGATGGGATGGGATGGGATGGGATGGGATGGGATAGAATGGGATGAGATGGGAAGGGAAGGGAAGGGAAGGGAAGGGACAGGATGGGATGGGATAGCATAGCATAGCATAGCATAGCGTAGCGTAGCATAGCGTAGCATAGGATAGGATAGCATAGGATAGGATAGCATAGGATAGGGATGACAACTGCTGTCTAAAACAGAGTCTCATGTAAATGTCACAAAAATTGACTCCCTCTTGATTCAGTCCCCATAGCAACCTCAGGGAGACACTGTTGCTATTTTGTCTTTCTTTGCTTTTGCAGTTAAGATTAATGGACATTATCCTTTTGTGTAAAAATATAGCATTGATTTAACAGTTAGAAACAATACAGCTGGGCGCGGTGGCTCATGCCTGTAATCCCAGAACTTTGGGAGGCCGAGGTGGGCGAATCACGAGGTCAGGAGATCGAGACCATCCTGAACCCCGTCTCTACTAAAAATACAAAAATTAGCTGGGCGTGATGATGAACACCTCTAATCCCAGCTACTCAGGAGGCTGAGGCAGGATAATCGCTTGAACCCAGGAGGCAGAGGGTGCAGTGAGCTGAGATTGCACTACTTTACTCCAGCTTGGGCAACAAGAGCGAAACTCTATCTCAAAAAAAAAAAAAAAAAAAAAAAAAGAAAGAAAGAAAGAAGGAAAGAAAAAAAAAAAAAAGAATGCAACATGTAGAAGGGACATCCTTTCTTAATCATTTGGACACTGGATGATAAATATTTTAATCTTTTTTTAATTCATAAAATGATATTAAAAAAATTTTTAGACCACACTCATTCATCTTCCTGCTTCTCTATTTCCCCTTATCAACATCATCATCATGTCTCTCTTTAACTTAGAGAAGTATTTGTCACCTGAGACTGATTTATTTTAAAATTCGTCCCATTAATGAAGTACTAAATGAACCCCTAAAAATGACCTTACTTACGAAGAAAGATCAGAGAAATATCAGGAATTTATAATGTGTGATAAATATATGACATAATGTAAGAGTAATAAACGTTGCTTAATTTTTAGTAACTAGAGTCCTCTAAACATCATAGCTTATTAACATTATAGATCTTTCTAAGAAATGTCTAGGGTATTACATAGATGTCCTGGGAAAAAACAGAACCCATTCATCCATTCATTCATTCAGTAGTGTTATTGAACACCTACTTGGTGCCAGGTGCATTTAATTAAGTAGATCTCATGGGACAGTGCTCTTTTTCATGATCTTTCCTTGAGAAATATAAAGGTGATTCATAGCTGCAATTTAGCTACATATTTTTTAGAGAAGTATTGTTATATGAACTCATATATGAAGCATATGTGGAAAACAACTTCTCAGTATTAATTTTATATTAAAACATTATAGTAATCATAATGTTGGTGGTTATCCTTTAATAAAAAATTGGGCCTGCGTCTAGCTACTTCAATCACTTGTGGTTTTAAAAAAAGTCTATGTAATAAAAAATGTTCTCTGAAAAGTTTAAAAGTGTATCTCTTTTTAAATTTTCATATAGATTTCAAATTCCTAAGAGAGAAACCTTTTCATAATGTAATTTTTCAAGACTTTCTCCTCAGAGTCTCAACTGCTCCAAGTTCAAGACAATTTTCTCCTTAATCATATGAATATTTTATGTAACTGTAATATTCTATTGTATTAATATAAATCAAGCTTGCCTCAAAAATTTAAATTTGGGCAGATTCTTCTTTGGACAATTTATCTGATATATTCCTCTAATTTTAATGGAATACACTTCCTGGAGTTCAAATTTTCATTGACTTTCCGAGAATAAAAATGCAAGCAACTCATTATTCTTGCCTATGGGGAAGGAGCAAGCAGGGATAAAAGAAATCTGAGGGTAATCCCTAAGACTCGTTTTAATGATTACTTTCAACTCCTTTAATAAAGCTTCTGTGTTGAGCCTCACAATGGGCAGACAGGAGGGGCTGCAGGCTCCAGTTTGATCCCTTCTCCCCAGCTCTGGATACACCGGGACTGAAGGAACTCCCGGGTGAAATGCACAGAGGCAGCACCAGAAGATAAGCAAAAGGGAAGCTTTGGGATGAAGCTAAGTATTAGTTAAATCAATCTTCCTCCCCTCTGTGATTCCACTATACTTAGTTCTAATTCTATCATATCCCTTCCCACACTGAATTATAGTTGGGTATCTAGGCGTCCCACACTGCCTAGATCCATTATCATTGATTCATTCAATGTGTTTATCGAGTGTCTCCTGTGTGTAAGACACTGGGAGCCATTACAGAATAATATAAATTGAATCTTCTCTGAGCATGTCTTATTTTGGTGCCTTTAAGTTACCCTTAAAAGGGACAGAAACTTCTGTCAGTTCAATGTGTGGGGTAAAACTGCCGTCTAAAGCAGCAGAAAGTACAGAGTTCTTTCCAGGCCCCATGCATGCACTTATTTCAATGTGACATACATTTGTCTGTGAGCAGGCTTAGTTTTCTGGCCATTACTTCTGTTCCTTTTCTATTTTTGTGACAAAGGAGTATGAGCATGACCCTTTGTTTTAAGGGTGCTTGGGATTTTTTTCTAATCAGGTGTGGTAAGACATTCAAACAGGCAAATGATTGTCATGAAGCAAGAAAACTTTTTACATTTATTGATTCCTGGAAACAAGGAAGGACCCCACACTGCACCTCACAGGACCACATGGGGAAGTGCCAGCATCAGTGAAGAGGCAGAGGGATTGAGGGAAAACCTGGGTAAGAGCCCCTATTGTGGTTTCCACAGGAAGAAATGAGAAAGGCAAAATAAGCATGTTTAGGATTGACTAGTTTTAATAATTTCAGTCGGCTCTGGGGAATAGGGGCTGTCTCCAGTTGTCTGGTATCTGACCCTGGAGTGATTAAGGCAGGGCTATAGGGCCTTGAGTATAAGAACCCCATTGGGAGTCAGCGGGAGATATGGGCTCTGGATTGGTTGATTGGCGTATAAAAGGCACACTCCTAGGTGAGTTGTTTGCCATTTCTAGGAATTAGTTAACCCTGAGGAAGGCAGCAAGAAGTCAAACCATCAGAAAAATTTAAGAGGCATGCTTTTTAAATTATTTAGATTATGATCTCTTTTTCTAATTTTTTTCACTAGTACAACATTTGGCTCTCGATTCAGACTAATGAAATCCTGTGCTACAGATCATTTCTATGCCCAATTAAGCTCAGTCCTTCTTACAATAATATTTATTCATGCCAGAATTTGATTAAAGGGTTATGTTGATTCAGTGTAATGACCACCCTTGTATATGTGTGTGTGTGTGTGTGTGTGTGTGTTTACTGAGTCGGTGGGTATAATGACTGACCCACTGACTCAGTGAACGCACACACAAGCACACACATATACAGAGGTGCTCAATACAGGGCTATTAGTGAAGACAAAAATCTAGAAATAAATATCTTTCAAGACTAGATTGGTTAAATAATGACACATCCATATAATGGAATGTAGCAGAAAAATCGTATATCATATTTTTGAATAATATTTAAGTAATTAATATAATGCCTATTACATGATAAAAATTCAAAGAAATGTAAATATAGTAATGTCACTTATAAATGCATAAATGATCAGTAGATGCCTGAACATATATATTTATCAGGAAGCTATAAAAATCATATTCCTGAATCACATGGGTCAACTTTTTTCTCTATACTCTTCTGTATTTAGCATTTTTTACTTTTGTAATCAGAAAAGTACATTTTACTTAACAAGTGAAAGATTTACCGCTCACTAGACATAGAACTAAAGGATTCGTTTAACTGATATTTTTGAGCACCTACTACATGTTGGTAATGCAATAGATATTGAAGAATCAATATGAACATCCTCCTGCCTTCCTGGAGTTTAGATTGGTGAATGCTGATAAATAAATAAGAAATTATAGTGTAGCAGGATATTTCCCTGACCCCTTCGCAGGACTCACAACAAGGTTGCCTAATTTACTTAGCCTGCTGCTCTCAACTCTTCCTAAGGGGGACAAAGAAGCAAGGAGAAGAGGAACATGCTGTCCTCCTGGGGGGTGGGGGGCACAAAGAAGCCTGGAGAAGTGGAACAGTTTTCGGCAGCAAGAGTGACAGCTGGGGAATATTTATCCAGGAGCAAATGTGGGTCTTATGTGAATGCAGTGAGTAGGTTTTAGTCACAAAGATCAGAGTGCTTCTAATCTCAGATGCTTCAGAATACAACCCATCCCCAGGACCCTAGGCCTGTTCTGTAGGATGGTCTCACTGAGCTGAAGCTAAGCCCGGTCCTAATAAGTGGCCTATGGAAGTCAGCTGGCCCTTTAATTTAAGGGGCTGCATGAACATCCAGAAGTTACTTTTGGCCCACTGAAGCCCAGAGTTAGTCTCTTGGAGGAGAAATGGGGCACCACCTTATTTTAACAATCATATGAGGGAGCAGCTGAACCTGGGTGTGTGGCCTGCCCTGGCTTGGATGGACTGAGGGTCTTGGATTGGGCTGAGCTCACAGCTAGGTCAGTGGAAAACAGAAGTGGGACATGACATTTTTCCACCTGGGGGAGTTGCTCTTTAAGAAAAAAAAAATACATTATACAAATATGAAATTAAGTTGAAAAGATTATATTTATTTAGAATAAATAAATAAAAGTTTGAGCAGCATAGAAAGACCCTGTCTCTACAAAATATTAAAAAATTAGCCAGCCATGGTGGCCTATACCTATTGTTCCAGCTACACAGGAGGCTGAGGTGGAAGAAGCACTTGAGCCCAGGAGTTCTAGGCTACAGAAAACTATGATCACACTGAGAGGTGACAGTGTGCTGGCAGTCCTCGCTCCCTCTGGGTGCCCACTCTGGCCACACTTGAGGAGCCCTTCAGCCTGCGGCTGTACTGTGGGAGCCCCTCTCTGGGCTGGCTGAGGCCAGAGCCGGCTCCCTCTGCTTGCAGGGAGGTGTGGAGGGATAGGCGTGGGCGGGAACCGGGACTGCCTGTGGCTATGGCAGGCCAGTGCCAGTTCCAGGTGGACGCGGGCTCCACAAGCCCTGCACTCGGAGCGGCCCGCTGGCCCCGGGCAGTGAGGGGCTTAACACCCGGGCCAGCAACTGCAGTGGGGGCGCTGGGTTCCCCAGCACTGCCGGCCTGCCTGCGCTGCGCTCGAATTCTCGCTGGGCCTTAGCCACCTCCCCGTGGGGCAGGGCTCGGGACCTGCAGCCAGCCATGCCCAAGCCCCCCCACCGCGGTGGGCTGCCACCAAGTCTCCCGGACGGGTGCCGCCCCCTTGTCCAGGGGCCAGTCCCATCGACCGCCCAAGGGCTGAGGAGTGCACGCCCGTGGTGTGGGACTGGCAGGCAGCTCCGCCCTTGGCCCTGGTGCGGGATCCACTACAGGAAGCCAGCTGGGCTCCTGAGTCAGGAGGGACTTGGAGAACTTTTGTGTCCAGAGGGAGGATTGTATATGCACCAATCAGCACTGTGTCTAGCTTGGGGTTGGTGGATGCACCAATCAGCACTCTGTATCTAGCTAATCTGGTGGGGACTTGGAGAACTTTTATGTCTAGCTAAAGATTTATAAGTGCACCAATCAGTACTTTATGTCTAGCTCAAGGTTTGTAAATGCACCAATCAGCACCCTGTGGCTAGCTCAAGGTTTGTGGATGCACCAATCAGCATTCTGTATCTAGCTAATCTGGTGGGGATTTGGAGAAATTTTATGTCTAGCTAAAGGATTGTAAATGCACCAATCAGCACTCTGTGACTAGCTCAAGGTTTGTAAAGGCACCATCAGTGCTCTGTGTCTAGCTACTCTAGTGAAGACTTGGAGAACTTCTATGTCTAGCTAGAGGATTGTAAATGCACCAATCAGCAGTCTGTGTCTAGCTCAGGGATTGTAAACACACCAATCAGCACCCTGTCAAAACAGACCAATCAGCTCTCTGTAAAATGGACCAATCAGCAGGATGTGGGTGGGGCCAGATAAGGGAACAAAAGCAGGCTGCCTGAGTCAGCAGGGCCACGTCTGCTCAGGTCGCCTTCCACGTTGCGGGAGCTTTGTTCTTTCGCTCTTTGCAAATAACTCTTGCTGCTGCTCGCTCTTTGGGTCCACGCCACCTTTGTGAGCTGTAACACTCACCACGAAGGTCTGCAGCATCACTCCTGAAGCCAGCAAGACCACGAACCCGCCAGAAGGAATGAACAATCCAGACGTGCTGCCTTTAAGAGCTGTAACACTGACCACGAAGGTCTGCGCCTTCATTCCTGAAGTCAGTGAGACCACGAACCCACCAGAAGGAAGAAACTCTGGACACATCTGAACATCTGAAGGAACTAACTCCGGACACACCATCTTTAAGAACTGTAACACTCACCGCAAGGGTCCACAGCTTCATTCTTGAAGTCAGTGAGACCAAGAACCCACTAATTCCGGACACAACACCACTGCACTTGAGCCTGGGTGACAGAGTTAGACCCCGTTTCTAAAAAATGAAAATAAAAAAAAAATTAAGACAAAATTACAAATATACAAAAGCTGACAATATCCCCTAATTTAAAAATTCTAGAAAAATAGCCATGTATTTTTTTTGAATTAACATTATGATAAATCTCAATCTTAAATTTTTATTTTTTGATAGATAATTCTGTTTACTTCCTTATGTCAAAATACAATAAATTTGTAATATTTTAGAATGAAGAAAAATACTTTTTTAGTATGATGGGTCTACATTTGATTATGATTACTATTATTTGTTATTAATTTATTCTTTTTTCAATTTTTTAATAATATCTTTCAATTGAGAACTAGTTGATAATTTCTTCTTGATTTTAGTATAATAGTTTAAACATTTTGAGATTTTGTTCATTACTCTTTATTTGTTTACTTTTCTTGGCTTTCACTAAGCTGTTTCTTGTTATATTTGAATTTTGATACAGTCAACAATCCTGAAAGAAAAATTAATCTGAAATTTAAATTACATATGTTTTTATTTTAAATTTGTAAAATCTTACATTTTCACACATGTTAAATACATAATTATGTAAAATTTTGCTTTAAACATATAAATGCATTATCTAAAGCTATACATTTTAATAATCAAATTAGTCATCTATTAATACCTGACTTGATTAATAGATACAGAAGTTTTGTCACAGAAACACTCATTTCTTCAAGCCATTAAGGCAATTTAGTGCACAATTACAATGAACACCTTGAGATTTGAACAGGACAATACGCGCTGACACACCAAGATGTGATCTAACACATAGGGATGCAAGGAACACAAAATTTATTGCATAGATGTTCTTAGTGTTCTTGGTACTCTTACATGTTTAAGTCTACAAACTGAGAAATTCTGGTATATTCTACTTCACATGATTTATATCCAATAAGAGAAGTATATGTTATATAAATAATTATTTATACAGCACTATCAACCTCATTCTGGACTTTTAGGAAAAAAATATCTTTTAGGCAGGTATAAATAAAAGTTTATGCATCTAATGATTAGAATAAGTTTCCTCAGTTCTCGCTCTGTACATTTAAAACCTTGTATATCTTCTTCTATTCACAGACTTCCAGTGCCTGACACCGTAAGATGAATCCATATGTTGATCTATCTCTTGCCTTGTACACTAGGTCATGATATGATAGACAATTGGAATATTCTTATAAGATATTCCTATGCAGTGGTGGCTAGCAATAAACGACATAGGGAAGTAGCTGTAAATCACATAAAAATATCCCACTGAACTCAAGCTGAATATTTTCTGAATTTCATATCGTCTTGGCCAGATGCTAAAATTGCCCCTAGTCATACCAATGCCATCTGTAAGTGGGTGCAGGATGCAGCAGAAAGAGCCAGAAGTTTTAACCAGTTGCAGGTGAAATATATTTTCCAATTCCCAAAAAAAATATGATTTTCTTACTTGAGTGCCTTCTAGACCCTTGGGCAAGGCTCATACAAATGAAGGGCACTTAGGCACCACTGGTTTCATGGAAAACCTGCCACTGGTTGGAGGACATCCAAATACCTTAGTACCTTATGCACTAAGATAGTAAAGATATAGAAACAAAGTAAGGGTTTCGTTAAATTAAATAGGCAGGAGGCCATTAGCCTGAAACTATCTCCATACTTTGCGTTTCTATGTAACACACCTCAACTTAATAAGTAAACAAATTTAAACTTAACTTAGGACGTATTTTTTGTAACAAATAGCCAGGTTTTAGTCAATCACAAGCAACTGAGCTTCAGCCAGTCACAGGCAGACAACTGACCAGAACATGCTCAAACAAGGAAGATGCCTCATTGCCACAAATCAGGTGACTTATCGACTTTGCTTCTGTGTTTGGCCTATAAAAGCTTATTGCTCATACTGCTGGGTGGAGTTCTCTGAACCCCTTATGGTGCTGAGTGCTGCCTGATTCAATAATTGTTCTTTGCTCAGATGAACTCTGTTAAATGTGTCTAAAGTTCTTTTAGCAGTATGTACTAAGTAGAGGCAGTATAAATTTTATCTGTTGTGTTATCTCACAGAATTAGATAATGTTACATTATATATCTGTTTTCTATTGCTGCAAAGCAACTCACCACAAACTTAGCAGCTTAAAGCAACACGTATCTTTTATTTCACAATTCTGTACAACAGGAGTCCAGCATAGTTCCTCTAGGATTTTTGCTTATGATCTCAAAAGGCCCAAATCAAGGAATTGGCCAACTGGGTTCTTACCTGGAGTTCCTGGGGGAGAATCCATTTCCCTGCGCATTCAGGTTGTTGAAAGGAGACAGCTCCTTACAGTTGTAGGTGTGTCGTTCCTGTTTCCTTGCTAGCTCTCAGTCCCAGGTCTACCTTTCGCTCCTGGAAGCCTCCTGCGTTCCTTTTCCTGTGACCCTCTCCAACTTCAAAACACTGAAGTGTAGAGGTCTTGTTCTTCAAACATCTCTGTCTTATCTTTCTGCCTTCTCTGCCATGAGCCAGAGAAAACTCTCTGCTTTTGCATGCTTATGTGGTTAGATAAGGAATACTCAGGTGATCTCCATATGTTCAAGTCAACTGTCCCATACAACATACAATAATTATAGGAGTAATATCTCATTATATTCACAGGTTTTGGGGACTAGAGGGGCTATCTTTGGGGCATCATTTCAGAAAGTCTGTCTGCCACACATATTAAAACAGAAAACAAGTTTCCTTCTGGATTACTGAGTTCTTACCCTCTGCCAGACGCTTTGTAATATGCCTTTTACATATTATTTTATTTATTCTTTCCAGCAAGCCTATGAAGTTAGTGCTAACCTATATGAAGTAAAATATTTACATACCATCTTCAGATGTATAGAAGAAATGTCATTTTTATTGATTTGATATAATCTACCTATACAACTAAATTATTTTCATTCCATTCAGTAAACTTGACATGAACCAGTAATTCAGACATTCTATTTACTTACAAAAATTATTTTTTAATAAAGTGCACATTTTAGAGTTCTTTCCCTCTCTTCTTCTTTCCATGATGTCAATTGGTGGTGTAGAGGATGGGTGTAACTTGCAATTAAGTGTGCTATGTACCCAGTTGTTCTTTAGTAAATGCTGCTGAAGCCTCTAGCTCCTTTCAATGCCTCTTCCCCACTCCTTCCTCTTCTCACTCCACTCTCTTCTTTCTTCTCTCTTTTCTTCCCCCTTCTGTTTCCTTCCTCTCCCCTTCTTTTCCTTTTCTCTCTTCTTTTTCCTGGTCATCTGCACTCTGAACTCAGTCTTGCCTAAGCCCTTGCTAATAATTCAGAACATCCTCATTGGCATAGCAACCTCTCTGACATTAAGGTTCATCTTAATTTTTCAAGTGTACATTCTACTTTGCCAATAACTGCCCAAAGAGAGAAAGACTGAGGCATATATTAGATTGTCTACTCTCTCCTGTCCCGTTTCCCTTCCTTCCTTGTAATCAACTTAAGCCTGAAGAAGAGACAGTCTTTCACTTCTCTTTTGTCTCAGTTTGAGATATCCCTTAGTACATACAGGCTGCAAGGACTGGGCTCTGCTTTCTGTATTATGCCCACCTTCTTCATGGTCAAGCATGAATAGAAACAGTTGGTATGTGAGAGAGAGCAGGGCAGCGTCTTTTTACTTTCGTGCTACTGAAATGTAGGGCTGCATAATTATTTGTCGTGAGTCTGGGCTGACACATCTTAAGATGCTTAAGCAGCATCCCTTGCCTCCACCTGCCGGATGCCGGTAGCACAACTCTCCTCCCTCCCAACTGTAATAACCAAATATGTCTCCAGACCTGGCCAAATGTCCCCTGGAGGGCAAAATCATCCCCGTTTGAAAACCACTGGTTTAGAGATAAGGGTAATTCAAATGAGGGAATTAAAAATATGTCTAATATGTCGATTAGACTTTTCATTTTTAGGTTTAAAAATGCCAAAGGCCGAACAGGTCTTGAACAGCAGAATAGGAAGTTGTAATAAAGTCTGGCTTCAAATCCCATCTCTACAGCCAGTGGAGAGGTCCACTACTCATTCGTTGTCTAGTTCAGGCCACACAAATCTCAGGTAACATTAATATCACAGGAACTTGAAGAAAAGAAGCACAGGCTGGGAGAAAGAGAGCAACAGGAATAAATTCACCAAGCTCACAACTTTTCCGAGCACCTGCCCATTCTTATGAGGATCACATCAGACTGTGTTAGTTAGAAATGAATCCTGGAGATAAGGAGGGCAGAGTGTAGGTAGGGAGCCCTTGGAATCTCAACATGCTTGATTATATGAGACAGCACTGCTAGTGAATCAAGAGGCACTTCATTTCCCACAAACGTAAGAGAAAGTTGGCATGCCTCTGATGATGCATAAAGCATGAATGTACCATATACAAAGCACTTCTTATATCTTTAGCAGCAACAAAAATGTTTTCAACGAAATGCTCTAATTCTTTAAAACAGCACTTTCTGAATTATTTGCATGCTAGAAACTTGAAACGTAGTCTAAGGAAAAGTGTATGATGTTATCCCCTCTGTTTCAGTTCCCAACACCCAGCACAGGACCTGGCAGTGAGTATGTCATTGACAAACTTTTATTTAATAAATTCATGCTGGCCTTGTGTCACGTTCTCTTGACTTTCAGTCAGTAGCCACATATGATATCATGCAGTTAGGATTATCCCTTTTTTCCCTGCCGTTTTCATTGTTGAAAATGAAAGTCTGACGCATATGTGAAGAGTTCCATCTTTGGGTAAGCAAAGGCATCCCATATGAGTGACAACCTGGGAGAGTTAGTTGAAGAGACAACGGTTGGGGAAGGTTGAAACTTAATTAGCAAGCTGAATCTGCAGAGGAACACTTACCAGTGATGAAAACTGAGCTCTGAAATTACGCAGACTTAGGTTCAAATGACAGCTTCATGATTCACTGGGAAAGTCACTTAAATTCCCTCAGTTTAGATTCTTTTGGAAATTGGTCATCTTTAGTGTTTAGTAATGTCACAAAGCTTATTAGAATTAATATAAAGTAGGTAGCATATTGCTGTTTATAAATAGAGTAATTTTGGTTGGAGTATCTAATTATGGTATAATAAATTGTCAATAAATACTTGTTCTTTTCATTTACGAATACTAGGGACTTTGGTTTTTTTGTTTCGTTTTTTGTTTTTTTGTTTGTTTTTTGTTTTTGTTTTTGAATCAGGCTGGAATGCAGTGGCACGATCTCAGCTTGCCCAGCTAATTTTTTTGTACTTTTAGTAGAGACGGGATTTCACCATGTTGGTCAGGTTGGTCTCGAACTCCTGACCTCAAATGATCCACACGCTTGGCTTCTCAGGGGCTTATGATTTTTTCCAGGCTCTAGTAGGACTAAAGACTGCACCCTGCCTTTCACATGCAAGTACAAGCAGCACACATCCTTCCTGAGCATTACTGCCGGAGGGTCCACGGGGGACCAGGCCCTCTTCAATAGACAGTAAACTTCTTTTGTGTTCCAGGTTAAAGATTTAAGGCAGGGATGGCAAAGAGTTTTCAACTTTCAGGCCAACACTGAACAATTGAATGTATTTCCTAGACTATATTTTTGTAAGGCTTCCAAAGACATGCCTTTGGAAAAGAAGTCCCGCTCACTGGAAAGGAAGTCCTGTGAAGGATTAAGAATGTCTGTGATGAGTGAAGGAAGAGGACATGAGGACTAAATATTCTCCATCTTTGAACTTGCCTATGGCTCTTTGTATATGGTGGGTGATGGGAGACAACACTTCTTAAAATTACACAGTTTGAAAAAGGTCTTAAGTGATGTCCTCTATTCAGCTACATTGGCTATACTCTGGAATCCAATTCAGCCCTTCATGGGGGTTGCAAGGGTGGGCGTACAAACATGGGGTATGAGGAGCAGTCTCCCAGAGGCAGGAGATCACAGAGGGCATTGTCTGTAAAATAATTAAATATCATAAAATAATCTACATAATAAAATTCTTCTTATTAAAAAATAATAAAGTGATCTAAAAGGTGGTCTGGTTTTTATTGTCACTATGTTCCAGCAACTTTAAACAATGTCAGTGAAAAATCTTTCTCTCTGAAAAAATAGTTTGCTGGTCTAAATGTTACACAAGTACTATGGTTACTGTGCAGGTTTTAATAATCTATACGTAAGCCCCAAAATAACCTGTTTTTAATATATCAGAGTTAATTCAGAAAACACCCAGCTGGCACACTAATTTCCCTAGAGAACTGTAATATCAACTCATTAAACAGCTCAGGTTCATGCAGGCTTTTCTTAGGTGCAGCCCTCTCTCCCACCACTGTTGTACATATTTCTGTATCGAGGCAGCAAATTTGAAATAAACAATGATAGCACAGTGATTATAAAGATAAAGACATAGAACTTTAGTTGCTTCAACTCTGTCATTCTAACTGTAAATAATTCTATGAACTTAGAGGAATTTACTCTTTTGAAAGGATGCTTTATACCTCTTCCCTCTTTGAATAAAGTATAATTAAAATTTTTAATCTATTCTTTTTTTTTTTTTTTGAGATGGAGTCTCTCTCTGTCGCTTAGGCTGGAGTACAGCGGCAAAATATCGGCTCACTGCAACCTCCACCTCCTGAGTTCAAGTGATTCTCCTGCCTCAGCCTCCCGAATAGCTGGGATTACAGGCACGCAACACTGCACTCGGCTGATTTTTGTATTTTCAGTAGAGATGGGGTTTCGCCATGTTGCCCAGGCTGGTCTTGAACTCCTGACCTCAGGTGATCCGCCTGCCTTGGCCTCCCAAAGTGCTGGGATTACAGGTGTGAGCCACCATGCCCAGGCTTAATCTATTATTTTTAAATAGTAATTATTATTTATTGACATGACTATTAACTGGGACAATTTAAGAAAGCTTTTCTGATGTTATTGTTTATTTATATGATTAATTCTAAAATAACTTGGGTATAGAGAGGAGGAAAATGCTAAAGACGTATCTATTTCAGGTATTAAATACACTTGATATGGTCCTGTTTGCGAAAGTTCTGTCCTCACTACCCCACTAGACTGTCACTTTATTGGGGAGAGACTATTCAGTAACTGCTAACTCTAGGATTTCCTCTATATATGTTATTATGCCTTTAAGCAAGTCAGTTTCCAGTTGTAAAAATGGCTCTGCATTTTACAGAAATGAGTCCTATTTGTTTTTGACAGTCACACAATCACTCTTTCATATTAAACTGTAAAAGTAACTCCAGTGTTAATTTGCACAAAAGCATAGATACATTTTTTGCTAATATGTGATTTTGTTATGAACTATAATCATCGTCTATCAAAGACTACGATGTTCTGAGACTTAGCATAGTGTATTGTTCCTTAAACCAATGAATTGACATTTAAAATAGATATAATAGAGGCACACAGATGGGGAGAAGAATATTTATGAAGTGTGTAATCTGCAAGATCATCCCTCATTTTCTAGTAGGATTACAGCTTTGTGATAAAGCACAATATTGCTCGGTAACCTTTTGCTAGACACTCCAGCTATGTGGGCTGAAGTAGGAGTTCCAGAATTCTTCACAGCTGAGTGAAATTGAGGATCTGGATAGAGGAAACATCCTCATTGATAAGGCTAGGAGGCATAATCCCAGCTCCGCAAGCAAATCCTTAATCGGGTGCTTTCCCAAGCATAACCATACCTCCGGGATACTCTTTAGGAGATGTTGGGCTTTGAAGATGAAGAGACAGACACCTCATTCTGTTTGAAGTCACGAAGGACAAAATTGTAAATGTTTCCTCGTCGTCACTGTTTTTTCACAGCAGTGGGTGTTTACACGTAGTGTATGGACAACCTGCATCGGAATGACCCGGGGTTCTTTATGAACCACAGCACCCCAGTTCCCCATTCCAAATATGGCTGAGAAAAATAAGTCAGGAAGATGCACTTTTACTAACGTTCCCTGAGTCTTGTGAAAATTAATTTTTGCTTTAAAAAACACATTTTTATGTATGTACACATACAATTTTACATAAATATATGAATGAAATTATATCATATATGCTGTCTTTGGTATTTACATACAATATTTTGGTTTTTTGTGCTTGTCTTCCTATGTATGTATATACACATACAATTTTTATGTATATACACATACAATTTTTATGTATATACACATACAATTTTACATAAATATATGAATGAAATTGTATCATATATGCTGTCTTTGGTATTTACATACAATATTTTGTTTTTTGTTTTTTTGTGCTTGTCTTCCTACCCCACCCTCATTTACATAAGTTATATTTATCACCTTGGATACATTCTCCGTATTTTTCATCACTCTTGTGGTATATACACACCCACATAGACACAAATATGCTAAATATGGTTTTAATACTCTGTGTGATACATATCGTGTAGTCCTAATTTTTTAAAAATTAGATCATATGCACATTTTTCTACAATTTTCTTCCTCATCCAATAATACTTTATTGAAATCTCTAAGTTAACTGATATAATTGTAATTTATTTTACATAGTTCCAAAATATTTCATCATGTGGATATACAATAACTCATTCAACTATTTCCCTATGATACATATTTACCTTTCTTTGTGTGTCTGCTGTATACAATACCGCAAGAAGCATTGATATCTTAAATACCTTTTTGTTTTTTTTGATAGGGCCTGGCTCTGTCACCCAGGCTGGAGTGCAGTGGCGCATTCTTGGCACAATCTCACTGCAACCTACACCTCTCGGGCTCAAGTGATCCTCCTCCCTCAGCACCCCAGAGTAACTGGGACTACGGGCATGCGCCACAAC
The DNA here is from genome assembly GCF_000001405.40 of Homo sapiens. NCBI lineage: Eukaryota > Metazoa > Chordata > Mammalia > Primates > Hominidae > Homo > Homo sapiens. The sequence goes on along the minus strand of NC_000002.12, from coordinate 117,061,655 downwards.
CCCCAACTAATTTTTTGTATTTTTTTGTAGAGACGGGGTTTCACCATGTTACTCAGGCTGGTCTCCAACTCTTGAGTTCAAGCGATCCAACTGCCTCAGCCTTCCAAAATGCTGGATTACAGGCATGAGCCACTGTGCCCAACCTTAAATATCATTTCTGTTGAGACCACGGGATAAATTTATTGAAGCAGATGAGCAGAGTCAAAGAATATATGCATTTTAATGTTAATAGCATCATCAGATTTCTTTTCAAAAATGACAATACACATGCACATTTTAACTAACAATGTTTGAATGTGAATTTCAGTAATATCTCAAGAGCAATAGACCTTATCAGTCTTTTAAATAGTTGCAATTCTGATACCAAAATTTGATACATTCTATATTTTTCAGATTGCTACTATTGAGTTTAAGCAATTTTTCCTGTTTGTCAACCATTTGGATTTACTCTTCTGTGAATTGTCTATTTATATATCCTTTGACAAGATATTAGACATTTGCAATTATAGTTTGGCATTATAAAAATTTTACAGCAAACAATCTCTAATATAAAGTTTTGTCTTGGGTTACCACCAGTGATAGCAATGATGGTGGTGGTGGCTGTGGTTTTTTTCTAATATAAATTATTAGAAGGTCAATTGGTGGGTAAAAGCACATATATTTTTTAGGGCTCTTGACACAGGCAAAATTGTCTCTTGGAATGGTGTTATCAGTTTACACAAACATTTGCAGTGCACAAGAAGGCCATAGTGTCTTCACAGTCAATGATACTGGGCACAATCTGCCAGTTTAATAGTTCACATTTCTCACTTTTAATTTACTAGTGATGTTTAACATTTTTATTTTATTTATTAGCTATTGGTAGTCTGTCTTATATTTATTTCACACATCATAAACACCTTCCACCACGTCAAATATTACGTCTACCTACTCAAGACATAAATGTCTGAAATGTCATTGCTTAAATATACTGTAAAATGTAACCACATTATTTGTTCTCTGACAGTGTAAACACCTGGGTTCCTTTATGTATTTGCCTGTTTTAAACCAAGCTAAAACAGTTGGTCTTCAGATTTCCAGGCCAGTATATTTTTAAAACATCATGTGGATCAGTAGGTTGTTTGTGCTTTTTAGCCTTTTAGTTCTTTCTTTTTTCTCTAATAAGCTACAATTGAGCTGGGGTATGATTGCTTTTTTTAATCATTCTGTGTTTCTATCTATTCATTATCTCTCCATTACCTATCTATCTATCACCTGTCTATCTATCATTATCTATCTATCATCTATCATCTATCTCATCTATCTATAGCTCTATCATTTAATAATATCTATCAATCATCTATTTATGTATTCACAGAGATAGAGAATCAGAGTGGCTTTATTATTAACTCATTTTAAAGACTACAAAATTAAAGGAGTATTTTGTATCTTTCAAGCTACTAGAGTTAAGTGGGGAGTGGGGAGTGGGGAGTCGAAACTCTGTGCATCAGTTTCAGCCTAAGTCCTGTTTACTAATTCATTAGCAGCTTAAATTTGGAATGTGCAGAAGTAGCTGCCTCAGAATATTGACTTCAGTAACATAAAAAGTTATGCTAATCACACCTGTGGAGCCCTTTAGTCAGAGATTCAACATCAATAGCCTACATTTGAACTACTCAACCACATGTTTTTAGTGGCCTTGGTGCAGAGGTTGTCAACTTCTTTGTTTATTATGTATGAAGAAGGCAATCCCTCTGCAAAGTCCAGAGGTGGGGGGTTGCCAATTTCACACTCTAATTGTGATTATAATCCAGGAGAAACCAGGAAATTAGACTGAAGGTGATTCACAGATGGACAGACTACGGAAATGGGCAGAATTTTCCTGGAATGTTGGTGCAGGGCCTTTTGTCTGACTGTGTGTGTAGGAGCACCAGCTCGGATTCAGTACCAGCTGGCAGAGCCTGCCCTCCCTCCTTGCTGATTACCTCCCCAGTCGTGTGTTCAGCCAGAAGCAACATATGGCCTACACTTCTACTTGGTTCAACTGCTACCATTTCCAGAGACTTGCCTGACCCTTTTCCAATAATCGTATTGAGGTAGGTATCCCTCTTCGGTGTTCCCACAGCTCCTTGTCCTTGATCACACTGTTTACCACACCAAATGGTTATCGTTAGTTTGTCTTCTTGACTGGGCTGTGAACAATTTCAGTGGGGAGCTTTATTTCACCTCTCTATCCCTAATGGCTAATGGAGTGCTTGCTGCATAGTAAGCACTAATGAAACATATTGGAGTAAATAAATGAAGAAAAGATGCAAGAGCATATTAATACATGTTTTCACTTGTGTAAAGCTCTGGGTGCTTACCCAGGAAACAAGTTTCTACAAATAATATGCAGCTTTGGAGGTCCGGCTCCCTGTGAAGCTGATTCTGAGATGGGGACGAATACAGAAAGTTTTTATAGGAGTATTCTCTGGATCACCACTTCTAGGGGAAATGAAGAAAATGGAAGGGGCAGAGGGAGAAGTAGTTGCAGTTACAAAGACTTGGCCACTCCCTCAGGAAGTTCTGCATCTATACTCACCCTGCAAAGTTGTCTGCAGTTAGGTCAAACATCCAGGCCTCTACACACACACACACACACACACACACACACACACACACACACAGACCAGTATCATACATCTATTTAATACAGTTGCTGTGTTGGCATCCATTTTTAGCTCTTATATCAGTTTTTTGAAATCTGGTTGTATCCTGTCACCTTTGGCTTAGTTAAAACTTTCTCTCCCTATTTGGTTGAAATATAGCCTGCTCGTTCCTCATCCCACTGACCCCAAATCCAACACATCTCCTAGCCACTGACCACAATAAAGCCTTATGGTAAACACTAGAGTCATGTAAATAAGTCCCCCACCAGTGACCAATTCCTGCCAGAAGGCAGAGGGTTAACAGCCTGGACCTTATTAAAGGCAGAGTTGCACAGGTCCTCTCTCCTGCTCCCCATCTGCTGGTTTTTGCTCCCTGTCACCTCCAGGCTTCTTGTCGGCCTCCCATCAGCTCCCCTAACATCTCTGGGACCCATGAGTCATAAATTTCATCTGTTACAAGCATTTGGTTTCACTTCCTCATCGTCTCTCATTTGACTCGAACCTAACTATTTCCTCAGTCAGGACTCTCCTGCTCCCCTAAAGAGTGGCTGCCTTGGCTTCTGGTTACATTTTTTTTTTTTTTTTTTTTGAGATGGAGTTTCACTCTTGTTGTCCAGGCTAGAGTGCAGTGGCACCATCCTGGCTCACTGAAACCTCTGCCTCCCAGGTTCAAGCTATTCTCCTGCCTCAGCCTCCTGAGTAGCTGGGATTACATGCACACAGCACCATACCCTGCTAATTTTTGTGTATTTAGTAGAGATGAGGTTTCCCCATGTCGACCAGGCTGGTCTAGAACTCTTGACCTCAGGTGATCCACCTGCCTCGGCCTCCCAGAGTGCTGGGATTAAAGGCGTGAGCCACTGTGCCCAGCTGGCTTCTGGCTACTTTCAAGAGAGAGACCTCAAGACAAAATTAGAAAGAAACCATAACAGGCCAGGCGCGGTTGGCTCATGCCTGTAGTCCCAACACTTTGGGATGCCTAGGTGGGTGGATCATCTGAGATCAGAAGTTCAAGACCAGCCTGGGCAACATGATGAAACCCCGTCTCTACTAAAAATACAAAAAATAGCCGAGTGTGGTGGTGTGTGCCTGTAGTCCCAGCTACTTGGGAGGCAGAAGGTGACAGAATCACTTGAACCTGGGAGGCAGAGGTTGCAGTGAGCTGAGATTATGCCACTGTACTCCAGCACGGGAGACAGAGCTAGGCTACATCAAAAGAGAAAGAAAGAAAGAAAGAAAGAAAGAAGAAAGAAAGAAAGAAAGAAAGAAAGAAAGAAAGAAAGAAGGAAAGAAAGAAGGAAAGAAGAGAGAAAGAGAGAGAAAGAAAGAGAGAGAAAAAGAGAGGGAAAGAAAGAAAGAGAGAAAGAGAGAGGGAAAGAAAGAAAGAGAGAAAAAGAGAGAGAAGGAGAGAGAAAGAGAGAAAGAGGGGAAGAAAAGAAAAAGAAAAAGAAAGAAAGAGTAAGAGAAAGAGAGAGAGAAAGGAAGAGAGAGAGAAAAAGAGAGGGAAAGAAAGAAAAGAAAAGAAAGAAAGAAAGAGAAAGAAAGAAAGAAAAGAAAGAAACCATAGCAATAAAAATCACAACAACCAGTCACTGGATTTCTGGCACGTCATCAGCTCTCAATAAATGCTTATTGAACCATAAAATCGTAAAGAGAAAACATAGTTCACCTATTTGGGAAATCCTCTTACATTAGCAATGTTGAAAGAGCTGTTAAGCAAGCCAAGACTATCCCTGGGCTTAGTTCTATCCTGTCATATGCCAGTGTGGGTTAGCATGTCACTGTCACAGCTCTGGTAGCTGCACTTCACCTGAGGCCAGGATGAAAATGTCACTAAGCCAGCTGATGTCTCTTGACATCCCTTCTGGCACGTGCTCATTGCTCCAGTCTCCAGTTTCACTTTTAAAAGAGAGCAAGTCATTTGTCAAGAATCTAGCTTCTCCTACATGCCTTTGTCATCCTGTCTCCAGGCCCTGATCAGGAGGAGAGCGACTCAGCAGGAAAATTCACTGCATCATAAATTCATAATCAATTTTTCTCCATGTGCTCTGACCAACTTATGATGTTCGTAATTAAAATTTTATGCAGACTTATGGCTACTGAGACAGGTTGATTCAGTGCTGGTTGTACAGCATCATAAATCACTGAGGCTTATTGTATAATTGGGCCCTAATAATTATTCTATCAATGTTAAGCAGGGATGGCACTGGGCAAAAGTGTAAGGCAGATGCACTCATCTTTCAGGGCCCGCCATTGCTCTGTGACAACCATTATGTACCAACCCTTGCCTCACGGGCATTGCCTCGTTTTCCTTTTTTGTTCTTTTTCTGGTTCCCAACTGTTCTTTATTATTAAATTCCTCCTCATGCTTCCAGGCTCTATTAAACTACACTTCTCCCAAGAGACCTCTGTGTGTTCCATCTCTCAGTAATCTGACTTCTGCTCTATGTAGCAACACTACCTACCACTCATGTGGATGCTTACTGCACGTTGCCTCCTGGTGGACTCTGCAGATGGCTTTCAGAGTCCAGTCTGTCCGCATGGCTTTACATGCCCAGAGACCTTCTCATTTAATCATTATTGATATGATCTCTTTCCTATTTCTTCTGGATGTATTAGAGACAGCTTGATGTCCTGGGAAAACATATATCAATTGGGGCTCAATCCTATTGACACAGGAGGGGAGCAGGGAAGTGCTAGATAGAGAAAAACGGGTCTCTGGCTATGTCTCCACCCTCGGGCCTGTGCCCACGGACCTAGGTGAGGACAGGCAAGCCTGTTATCCCGCCCAAATGTTGCATTTTCCCAGACCACCCTGACCCGCCATGTCCCCCACCCTCTGCCTGTAAAAACCCCGAGACCCTAGCGAGCGGAGACACAAGCAGCTGGGCGTCAAGAGAAACACACCAGCCGAAGAACACACAAGTGGCCGGGCGTCGAGAGGAACACATCGGTGGAAGAGCACAGCGACAGGCGCCGGCAGACTGCGGCAGGCCATCGACCGGTGGAACGACGCGGGGATTGACCGAGGCGGACTCCGGGGGGACAACCAGCCCCTTCTGGCCTCCCCAGCCACCACCACTCAATAGAAAAGCTTGCATTCATTCTCTCAGCCGACGTGCGATCCGATTTCTCCGGTGCACTAAGGTAAGAACCTGGGTTACAGAAAGCCCCCTGTCCTTGCCATAAGGCAGAGGGCCTAACGGAGCTGGTGAGCGCAAGCAGCCTGCGGGTGGCAACAGTGAAAAAGCACCCCCGTAACACGCGCCCAAGGAGCCTTGGGAGCTGCAAACGCTCCCCCCCGGGCGCTGCCGCGGGTTCGCGGCCCCACAGCCTGAGTGTCCGTGCGCTCCCCTAGAGCTCCGGGCAGCGGGCACCGGAGAAACGAGCCGCAGCCCCGCCGCGCGCCCTGCGAGGGGGGCGAGGGCACCTTTCCCGTTTCGCTGTGTAGATCTGTCACTTACTGGCTGAGCAACTCTGGACATTTTCTGAAATCCCAAGCAGGGTTCTCAGCTATATAATAATTACTCTGCGAATTTATACAAGTGACTTAATTTTTTCTGAACCTCAGTTTTCTAAGTAATGAATGAGAGAAAATAATACACAGCTCGGACGTCTTTTTGGTCTCATAGTTATGAAGGATTCTCCATATCGATGAAATATTAGAATAAAGTAAAAAAAAAAAAAAAAGGCTTGTCTTAAAATATGGGCTCAATAAATGTTGAGTTTCCCATTTTCCTCTTACATGACCTACTAAAGGTTTAGTGACTGATGGTAGGTTGCTTATGTTAACTTAAGAGTAACCGATACTGGAGATTTCATAGCCCTGAAAATGATCAAGGGGTAGAAAAGACTTTAATACTTTTGGAAACTTTAATTTTGTTATACGCAAACGGCAAAGCATAATGTCTTGAAGACAGTTATAAAAGTCACTATAACATGAGAGAACTGATATCCTGTAATTTTGTTGTTAGAGAATTTATATACAATTTAAATGGATTTGTATCTCTTTTTTGGTAAATGCAGATGGGGCTACATAGAAAGCACATTTGAAACATCAAAAGAACAGCGTCTGTGCAATCCTCATCATAATTTTAAACTCTGACTTCTACCTGCTGGTCCATTAGGTAAAATGCAGACACATCTGTCTGGTTAGAAATCAAAACAGACGGGTTGATGGGTGCGGCAAACCACCATGGCGCATGTATACTTATGTAACAAACCTGCACATTCTGCACATGTATCCTAGAACTTAAAGTATTAAAAAAAAATCAAAATGGAAACTTTCGTCATGGCGTTAAGTACTGGAGTCGAAAATCTAAGTCTGTGAATTACAGATTACTAATGTGCATTCAGAACAACCACTAACACTGTAGTAAAATTCATGACTTTGTTTAATTTTAATTATTAATTACCAGAGAATTATGCACACTGCTATTAATAGCACATTGGTTCAGGCCGGGTGTGGTGGCTCATGTCTGTAATCCCAGCACTTTGGGAGGCCGAGGCAGGTGGATCACCTGAGGTCAGGAGTTCGAGACCAGCCTGGCCAACATGGTAAAACCCTGTCTCTACTAAAAAAAAAAAAAAAAAAAAAAAAAAAGAAAGAAAAGAAAAAAAAAATTATCTGGCCATGGTGGCAGGCACCTGTAATCCCAGGTACTAGGGAGGCTGAGGCAGGAAAATCGCTTGAACCTGGGAGGTAGTGGTTGCAGTTAGCCGAGATCGCGTCATTGTACTCCAGCCTGGGCAACAGGAGCAAAACTCTGTCTCAAAAGAAAAACAAAACAAAACAAAACAAAACAAAACAAACAAAAAAACAGTGGTTCAGAGAGCAAGCTCTAGATTAACATAATCTTGGGTTCTGTAAGAAATCTATTACATTCTTATTATTACATCACTCATTGTTATTATCATTTATAGTGGTTAGTAATGTTCTTCATTCCAGCATTTCACTATTGTTCATAATTTTATTTCCCCTAGGTTTTAGCTAAGGTATCACTTTCTCAATGGGGTCCTAAAGAAACCTGTTTAGGATTATAAACCCGTACCCTGACTCTGACATTACCATCTTTTTCTTCTGCTTGATTTTAATTCATGACAATTATCACCATCTGGAAAAAGTAATGTACTATGCATTTTACTTATTTATTTGTGGTTTGCTCACCCAATTAGAATGTAAGTTTCTGACCCAGAGATTTTTGTCTGTCTCATTATCTGTTATCTCTCAGCACATAGAATAGTGTCAGGCAGATAGTAAACAATAAATAATTGAATGAATTTGTTGAATTAATCTTCGACATGGAGCTAAAGATGTTTTCCTCAAGTAGTTCTGTGTGTGGCCAAATGAGATGGCTTACAAAAAGTGCCTGATTCAATGCATAATAATCTACACTAAGTAGCTATTGTCGTGATCATTCCCTCAGGATAATCTTGTTTGAAAGAAAATCATTATTTAAAAAAAATTCAAGATACTTATTACTAATTTCTCATCCCCCTAAAAAAAAAAATCTGTTAACTCCTTCCCAGGCTTGGGCAGAAGACAGTATAAATGAACTGAGAAAAACTCTATTGATAAACTTTAAAGAATTTCTGGATGGAGTCTTTGCAGAGCAGTTGTTTGGTTTGAAATGTATATCTGAATTCCATTGAATATTGACAGAACTTTTAGAGTCCCCTCCCCTACTCTGAGGGAAAGAAGAGGAAATTTCATAGATCTGGAAGACAAACCTGGCATTGCTAACACATGGTGAAGTATACATATATATATATATTTTTTTTTTTTTTTTTTTTTTTTTTTTTTTTTTGAGACAGAGTCTCAGTCTCTTGCCCAGGCTGGAGTGCAGTGGTACAGTCTTGGCTCACTGCAGCCTCTGCATGGTGGAGATTTTTTAAGGTAGTAGCAAAGCCTAAGAAAGCCTTCTGTGGATAGTTATTTTTTTCTCTCTCTCTTTTTTTTTTTTTTTAACTAAGTCAAAGATCACTCCTCCTGTGTTCGCAAATACCTGATACAATGAGGCAGACCTAGGATCTAGACACTCACGTACACGGACATACATTGCCCCAGAAAAAGACCATAAATTTGGAAGATGATGTGTGCACCATCATGGAGCATCTGAGGTGGGTGATTTAGGATACGTTTCTTCAAATTATCAGAAATTGAAAAGTTACACAAATCCAGAGCCAGAGAGATACCATGAATGTGGGCAGTCGCAGCGGGGAATCATGATGCCTGCCCCATGTGAAAGTGAATGCTCTGCCTAGATGCATTCTGATTCTTTTTTCTTATTTATTTGTTTATTTTATTTATGTATTTATTTTAATGATGACACTATGAAGTTTATCTTTGCCCAGATCATGCAAGTGGGCTTTAACACTTCAGGTGTGCAACCTTGGGTGTTTGACCTCTGGCCAGAGGAAAACCTGTTTCCCTAGAGGGAAATCTTCAGGGGCTCAGCAAATGTATTGAGAAAGCTACAGTATACATCTACTCCAGGTTGAAGCTGGAGGGACAGACGCAGTCCTCACAGAAAAGACCGGGAAAGTTTTCACCCACCTCTCCATACATGGCTTGAGGTCAAAGACCTGGCTAGATAGTACTGTATATTGATGGACCTGGCGTGTTATCTGATATGCCTCCTGAGCACCTAAGTGTAGGTGGCTGCTCGAGGATTAGGGGATTTACAGTGCTAACACATTTCATAAAGCCATGTTCTAAAACCAAATAAATTGAAATGTCAAGGCTTTTGAGTTATCTCATGTTTTTTTTTTTTTTAATGTTGGTTTCATAGCTCTGTTATTGCAGATCTTTGATCTTTGTATGATTCAGTGATCTACTTTGATTCAGCTGGAATTTACTGAGTACAAATATGTTTGGGGAATAATGCAAGCTCCCATGTTGGGGGGTGGATAATCCCACAATCAAGACACAGCTCCATGAATCAAGTTTATAAGATCTAATTAAAGGTGAATCTATATACTGTGCTATTATATAGTTTGATAAAGGCTATGAACATATAAAATAAGAAACATCTAATAATGGGTAAATTGAGCTAAGAACAGGTAGGATTTTGACAGAGAGAGTTGAGAAAGAACGATTTCAAGGCACAGTCATTTGTTATCTGCTTGAATCATATTAAGAGCCATCAGATGTATTATGCTTTACATCTCACCAGATATGTGACTCTTTCACCAAAATTATTTTCTATTATGTCAATAGTTTATTTTGTAATTGGTTTTATTGTTTTTTTTTTTTTTTTTACCATGAAACATAGCTGTAATGCTAAGTTCTGAGTACCAGTAAAGCATTAATTAATATTCCCTCAGTACAAAATTTTTCCATTAACCCAGAATGGATAATGGGAGCAATAATATGCAAATCCCTACAAATCAATAAGCAATAATGATCAGGAAATACATACTTAATCTGTGATTACAAATAACTCCCAGAATATCACTCTATATTCCACTTTATCTACTTACATACCTGAAATAAACATAGCATTCCCTCTCCCCTCACAATAAGCTTGTAAAATCATTCCTCTACTTCCATTGATTTCTTTAATAATCTCTCTGGTTTCACAATTAAATCCTTTTACATTTAAATCACCAATAGAACCAAATGATATCTATTATTTTGAGTGTTTTGAAGTTTACAATAAATGTACTATTTGTATTTGGGAAATGAATTTTGGTGGTGTAAGCACAATGGTTGTCACGAAATTGCTGTTTGATTGTTTTGCTGTATGTTCAGATGGAAGCCACAGGGAGAAATATTGGCCTCATTGGACGTATGTTAATGGCCACTGTGGAGGTATGACTTGGGTTGAAGCCAAAATGTTGGTAAATTTTTTGAATAATGACAATAGCTGCCATTTATTAAATGTTTGCTGTGTACTAGAGATATCTTTAATCTTTATAATAGCTTGTTTGTTTTTCTAATTGTACAAATGAAGACCCATAGTGTAAGAAGTTATAAATTTTGTACAGTGTCACAAATATAGAACACAAGTGAAAAAGTGAAAATCCGAAACCAGAACAATATGACTAAGAATCTATGGTTTTTTCCAGTCTACTGTGGTAGATTTAGTAATCCCCCCGCCCACCACCCTGTTCTTCCACCCCCTGACCCTTGCCAGAAATGTTATATCCTAGTCTCTGAAACCTGTAAATGTATTACATGATAAGGAAGATGGGATCTTAGATGGAACTAAGATTGCTAATTATCGGCCTTAAAATGAAGAGATTATCTGGGTGGTCCCAATGAAATCACAAGGGTTCCTAAATGAAGAAGAGGGAAGCAGAAGAATCAAAAGCAGAGAGACGATGTCATGAGAAAGACTCAAACAATCATCATTGACTTTGAATATAGGAAAGGACCATGAGCCAAGAAATGTGGGCAGCCTCCAGAGCTGGAAAAGGCAAGAAAATGGATTTTGTCTTAGAGCCTCCAGAAAAAAATGCAGCCTTGCAAACACCTTGATTCTAGCTCAGTGAGATCCTCTTTAGACTTCTGACCACCGCAACTGTAAGATGAAATGTGTGTTGTTTTAAGTCGCCAAGTTTATGGTAATTGGTTGGAGCAGCAATAGGAAACTAATATAAGCTCTTCAATCCTCCAATAAAGCAAGAAACATTCTTCTGTGCTTGTTAGAAAGACATCATGTGCATAGGAATGTAATAGAAGGCAAATAGAGGAATTAATCTAAAAGAAGATGGCACACCTATTGTGAGCCAAGAGAATCAGGAAGTCTGGAGGTGAAAGGTACAGCTATTAATTGAATGCCATGAACCATAATCATAGTTAGTTTTGAACAATTATTTGCTTAATGGATAAATAAAATGATGAATGAGTAAAAAACCTGCAGACTGGTAATTATGTGACAATTTGCATTTCATCAGTCTTTCAGAAACATAATTGCTCATTTTAAAGGTGAAGATGATATCCCATTGTTTTAATTTGCATTTCTTTGATTACTTAAGTTGAAAGTCTGCATATGATTATTAGATATTTATATATTCTCTTTAGTGAATTATCTTTTAACTACTGAGAACTTCACTTCATTTAATTTCAATTTTGTAAACTCATTAGAGAATATAGCTATTAACCTTGTTTTTGGCATATATATTTTTAAATATAGGTTTCCTGTTTGTTGATTATCTTTTAAGTGGGTTTGTAATACCTTTTGAAGCATAGACTTATTAAATATTTTGAATCAAAGCTGTTGGGTTTTCACCTTCGTGGCTTATTTTATTATTTTTAAACTATAATCTTCTGGAATTTGCTTTAGAATATTATGTAAAAATAATGTAAATTATTATTTTTATAATTGACTTAATAATTACAGTAGCTCTTGTTAAGTAGTTTTTCTTCTTTCCTGAAATCTATGATACTTCATTTAAAATATCACATTATATTTGATATATATTCTTGGAAAATGTTTAAAGCCCTATTTTAGTTCATGTTACTTTCTCTTTTCTGTGTCATCATTTTTCTATGCTTTAAGTGATTACAGCTTTACTGCATATTTTAAAATCATTTACAAGTTGGACTAAAAATTCAAGCCCCATGATATCAACATTGCTTAAAAATATGATTTTTGCTATTGAACTGTTTTAATCTCTTTAATTTTCCATGTGAGAATGAGAGTATTTTTCTTGTAATTTTTGATTGAGATTAGTTTAAAAATATAAATGAACTTCTGGTGATTTGTCACAATTACAACCTTGCTCTTCTTCTCAAGAAGCACTGTATGATTCTCCATTTATTCAACTTTCCCTGTTTGGCTTGTGTTCTATATTTATATCCCTCCTCCCTGGACCCCACTCATTACCTTGTTATGTAGGGTATTCCAATTTAAAAATCATCCTGGGAATTGTTACATCTTCAAATTAGTTATTGCCATGTATATGACAATTACTGACTGATATGTTCATTCAAAATAATTCACAACAGAGATTATTATTAATTACAATAATTCATAAGGTGATAATCTTGGATTGTTTACTTCTAAGAGCAAAAATTTGTTTCATCATTTTCAAGAAAGTATCTGAATTATTTCTTTTTGATGTTTTATTTCATTGACTATTGTTTTTGTACCAATAGGAAATAATAATAATAATCCCAGCCATTTTCTTTTATTTCTAGGTTTTACAAGCATGCTTTATTATTGTATCACTAAATATACTGTTGGCCATAAGTAGTCAGCCGTTAAAAACACTATTTTTGAGTGATTCTACTAGCACTAATTTATTTACTGAGGTGTTTATTTTTATGAATAAATACTGAAACTTTATTGAATTACACATCTTTCAACTCTCTGATCACTAGCATTACCTATTAATGTGATATTTGATAACAAGCTATTTTAAGTTCCTCTGTCGTTGCCTTATTAAATATAATCTTATAAACAAAATTCATTTTTATCTCCACAATTCAGAGGCTTCATTAGAAGTTTTCATTTTTAATATCTAGGTAATAGCTAGCTGAATAGCTGATCGATTCTTCCAGAAAAGACCCTATTTTTTGTTTTTACTTTTCAAATTCTTTTATCTGGTATAAATTGTTTGTATATCTCTGATGTTTCTTTTCCCATTTTTTAAAGATAATTCTTTGATGTCAACCTAATGTTTTTGATGTAGTCTTTCCTGTTTCCTGTTACTTTTCACAATCAAAAGTGCAAGAGTTTTGTGACAGCAATTCTGACTCAGAAGGAAGAAAGAAGAATTGCATGAAGGGAAGAAGTCAAAGGAAAGGGGATGTGAAGGGCCACAGGAAGCTAGCAATTGTAGGGAAGGACTTCAGGGCGCTATTCACAAGAGTGGTAGATGAGTGTATTTTAAATTGTATTCAATCATTTACATATATTATCTTATTTAAGCATCTCAATAATAGTGAAAAAACATGTTTAGTGAAGCTAAATAACTTTCTAACACTGTGTAGGTAGCCCATATATTAAACAAGAAAATGCAAACAGAAAATAATTTTTGCAGTCCACTCTCTCTTTCAAACAGCACAAGAGGGCTAATGGTGCCCCTACTCTGTTAAGTGAATATTTAAGCATCTCATAAGTGTTTTGGTTACTTTTAGAGAATATGAAATCCTAGGATCATTTTAAATTGTAAAACATAGTTTCAGATTAGAAATTGAAATGTCCCATCCCATATAATCATCAACGTCCCCCTCCCCAGTTAGGGCCTCAGGCAGATGAGAAATGAGCCTCCAGAAAGAAAAAAACAGCAATTCTTTCTTGCAGTTCCAATCCTCCTTGACTCATATCTTAGAAACATGATCTCTCTCTGTCTCCCAGGCTGGAATGGAGTGGTGCGACTATAGCTCACTGTAACCTCCAACTCCTGGGCTCAGGCTATCCTCCAATGTAGGTCTTCCAAGTAGCTAGGACTACATGTATGCAGCACCATGGCCAGCTAATTTTTTTTTTCTTTGTGGGGGTAGATATGGGGTCTCGCTATGTTGCCCAGACTGATCTTAAACTCACGATTTCAAGAGATCCTCCTGACTTGGCCTTCCAAATCCTGGGATTACAGGCGTGGCCTTCCATGTCCAGACAGGCTAATCACAGCTTTGCCCTCTCTACAGGCAGATATTTACATCTGCCTCTTCCCCTCCTGGGTCCTTTGAAGACTGGGATTTGAGTCTTCTGAACCCCCTCCAATCCCAGTTGTTGGAGATCTCTCCTGAAGTTTTCTCACAGCAGCAAGTCATTGAGTCTAGTTTGGCAGGTGGCTTGCAAAGACGTCTGCATTGACTAAGAATTCAGTTGCCCACCTTTACTTCTTCCTGAGGGGCTTCCTTTTCCCTTGGCAGCACCACTGGATGTGTCCTGAAATAATCCTAGAATTGTTTGCTTTATTATATTTTTTTATTTTTTGGTTGGGATCAAACCCATTCTCTCTCTCAGCTGCAGAGCAGACATAACTTATCACACTCATGAATCAATGTTTTTGAGGACCTTCTTATCAGAATTTAGAGGAGAAACCTGTGCCTCCCACACTTCCGTTATGTGGGAGCATGGAACCCACAGCAGAGACTTCTCCAGGCAAATTCACTCCTCTCTACTTCACCCATCTGCTCTTCTTCTGACCTTTTAATACTCTGGAGATGGGGGAGCTTCAGAGTCATCTAACTTGGGTGATCTGTTTCACAATTTACTTTGGTGTTTAGTATCTACCACATTAGAATCTCAGTGAAAATTTTTAACACTCTACTGTTCATCTCTTATTGGAGGTGAAGATAAGCTTGAACTCAAGGTTTTTTAACACCAAAGAATATGTGTTTTTCCTTAAATCATAATTAATGAATTTGAAACTCTCTTCCATATGGTAGAGATTTCTATGTTTCTTCATGTATTTATGGTTGTGTTGGCTGTAGCTGTAGAAAATATGATGCTACTATATTTTGTACTGTAGATACAATAGGTTTGAGTTATGTCTCTGATCCCAATACTTGTAAAAAAAAAATCAAGTTCCATGCTAAAATATCAGATAACTCAAAATGGAAGAAAAGGAAATTGTATTACCATGTCTTAGGGGAACAGTATCTTTTCTTCAATTTGGGGAGAGAAAAAAAATATCACTTGGCAGAAACAATTTCATATGTATGAGGCAAGATCAGACTCTGAAGGACAAAACTCTTTTTTTAATATAAGTTAAGAAATGTGTTCTTTTATTTATTCTAAGTTGGGTGTCATTTTAAAAAAATTTAGAATATTTCTCTGCTTCATGATTAAAATTAAAATTACAGGAGCTTTTCCCTCCAGATATTTTTCTTAGAAATTAAACTGCATGAACAAAGGGATTGCATTTTATCATCTTATTTGTATTTCACTGGAACAATTGTCATTTTCCTTTCCCTTTTTGTGGAATATCTGCAAAGCCTCTGAAAGCCCATTGTTCCCCCTCAACAACATTGGTTACCACACTTGATTATCACATATTATTTTTTTAAATAAATTTTCCTTCACTGCACAGATAGATCAATGATTTCCTCCTTCAGAAGTCAATAGTACATATGGTTGAGAAATTTACTTTGTGTATTGATAGTTGTCCTTGAGTTGACACTGTGTCTGCTCTTTATGAAAATGGCCTTTAGAATTTGGGAGGTTGGAAATGAGGCTTAAGTAGAATAAAGCTGTGATATTTGGGAGCCATTGACCTCATGTGAGCTAGAGAGTCTTGCTGAGTCTCTGAAATCTGGTACTGTACAGAGAAGAAGCATCTCAGAGTCATTGACTGAAGGCCAGGGCCACTTATCTATTTCTAAGGGTTCAGGGTACAGCAGTCCCCACATCTCATAAACATGCAGATAATTTGTTTGTATGGGACTCTTGAGCAAATTTTGGTCTTAATGAAATTCGAGTATGTTTGAAGCATAGATGAAACACTTTGGCCATGAGCAAGAAGCCTGAATTCAGGTGCTTTGCTTTGGATTCTTCTTTTCTTGCCTAAAGCTTTATTATTAACTTTCTGCCAGTCCTCCCTGAGAATTTAGGTTTTTATTTCCTTAGAAAGAAAGACCAGGTCCATGCAGAAGTGGAAAAGAGGGCCTGAAGTAAAGGTCTCATGCCGTGTGTTTGCAATTATTTTGGCCTTGGAAATAATTAATGTTCTGGAGACTCTGGACAAATCAAAGCACATTTTACTTTAATTTTACTAAATTTCATCAATATATAACTAAACTAAAATAAATGACACAAATTTTAAGTGTATAATTTAATCTGTTGACATATGCGTATATCCATGAAACCATTACCACAGTCAAGATAATGAACATTTTCATCCTCCACAAAGTTTCCTCACTTCTGTTTGTAGCCTCTTTTTCCCATCTTCCCCACCCTCAGGTACCTAGGCAACCACTAATCAGCTTTCACTCACTATCAATGGGTTTGCATTTTCTACAGTTTTATGTAACTGCAATTATATGGTAAGTATTTTATTTTGTACGGTGACTTTTACTTAGCATAATTATTAGAGAATAATCCATACTGTTGAGATTATCAAAAGTATATATATACTTTTGAGATATATATAGTTTTGATATATATATATCACATGATATATATATCATATATATGATATATATATTTGATATATATACTTATGATATATATATACTATATACAGTATAGATAGTATATATACAGTATAAATACTCCATATATATGTATATATACAGTATATATGGAATATCTGCCAAGCCTCTGATAGTATAATATATGCTAGCATATATATGTGCTATATATACTATAAATACTGTATATAGTACATGTAAACTGCATAAACTGTATATACTATATAGTACATGTATACTGTATATACTGTATATAGTACATGTATACTGTACATACTGTATATACCATATATAGTACATGTATACTGTATATACCATATATAGTGCATATATACTGTATAAACTGTATATACCATATATAGTACATATATACTGTATATACCATATATAGTACATATATACTGTATATACCATATATAGTACATATATACTGTATATACCATATATAGTGCATATATACTGTATATACCATATAGTGCATATATACTGTATATACCATATATAGTACCTATATACTGTATATACTGTATACACTATATAGTACATATATACTGTATATAGTGTATATACTATTTATATAGTACATATATACTGTACATAGTGTATATATTTATATAGTACATATATACTGTATATAGAGTATATTCTATTTATATAGTACATATATACTGTATATACTGTATATAACATATAGTGCATATATACTGTATATACTGTATATACTATATATGGTACATATATACTGTATATACTGTATATACTATATATAGTACATATATACTGTATATACTGTATGTACTATTTATATAGTATATACAGTATATATACTGTATATACAATATAATCTATATATACTATACATACTATATACTATATATACTATATATACTATATATGCTACATATACTATATATACTATATAAAGTATATATACTATATATAGTATCTATATAAAGTATATATACTATATATAGTACCTATATATAGTATATATAGGTACTATATATAGATACTACATATAGATACTATGTATATACCATATATATTATATATAGTATATATAGTATATATGCTATATATATAGTCTATATAGTATATATACTATATATAGACTGTATATATAGCATATATACTATATATACTATATATAGCATATATACTATATATACTATATATAGCATATACATAGTATATACTATATATAGTATATACATAGTATATATGGTATATAGTATATATAGTATACTATATAGTATATACAGTATACTATATAGTATATATAGTATATACAGTATACTATATAGTATATACAGTATACTATATAGTATATACAGTATACTATATAGTATATACAGTATACTATATAGTATATACAGTATACTATATAGTATATACAGTATACTATATAGTATATATAGTATACTATACAGTATATATAGTATATATGGTATATAGTATATATAATATACTATATAGTATATATAGGATATATAATATACTATATAGTATATATAGGATATATAATATACTATATAGTATATATAGGATATATAGTATATAGTATGTATAGTATATATACATATGTATAGTGTGTATGTATAGTATATATACTATATATGTATATATTATATATACAGTATATATATACATATATACTATATTAGTATATATAATATACAGTATATAGATACTATATATAGCATATATAGTATCTATATACTGTGTATACTATATAAAGTATGCTATATATATACTGTATATACTATATATACTATTTATATACTATATACTATGTATAATATATACTATATATAATGTATATAGTATAGTGTACTGTATACTATATATACTTTATATAGTATAGTGTACTATATATACTGTATATAGTGTATATAGTATATATAGCATATAGTGTGCATATACGGTATATATAGTATATTTATACAGTATATATACTATATATACTGTATATAGTATGTATATCAAAAGTATATATATTATATATGCTATATATGCTATATATACTGTATATATAGTATATAGTATATGCTATATAGTATATATAGCATATATACTATATATGCTATATATACTATATATACTATTATATATCTATATAACTATATATCTATATACTAGTATATATACTAAACTATATATGTACTACATATAGTATAGTATATATACTATATATACTATTATATATGTAGTACATATAGTATAGTATATATACTATATATACTAAACTATATATGTACTACATATAGTATAATATATATACTGTATATACTGTACTATATATAAAATATACTATATATAGTATATATAGTGTACTGTATAGTATATATAGAGTATACTGTATAGTATATACTACACTCTATAGTACATATAGAGTATACTATATATAGTATATAGTATACGCTGTACTATATATAAAAATATTTTATGTATAGTATATATAGTATACTCTATAGTACATATAGAGTATACTATATACTATATAGTATACTATATATAGTATATAGTATATAGTATATATAGTGTATAGTATATAGTGTATACTATATATAGTATTTATACTATATATACAGTATATATAGTATATATACTACATAATATATACTATACAGTGTGTATATATACTATATGTACTATATAAACTATATATACCATATATGGTATATATAAACTATATATACCATATATAGTATATATATAAACTATATATACCATATATAGTATATATATAAACTATATATGCCATATATAGTATATATACCATATATACTATACAGTGTATGTATATATATATAATATAGGTATATATACTATAAAGTATACTCTATAGTATATATAGTATACCATAGAGTATACTATATACTATATATAGCATACTCTATAGTATACATAGAGTATGCCATATATAGCATAGACATGCTCTATATAGGGTATATATAGTATATATAGTATACTGTATATAATATACTCTATATAGGGTATATATAGTATATATATGTATATACTATAGTGTGTATATATGTATATATATACATACTACATATATATGTACATATACATATATACGTACATATATATGTATATACTATAGTATATAGTATATATATGGATATATATACCTAGTATATATATTATATACATAGTATATATCTTATATACTATATATAGTATACATGTAGTATATACTGTGTATATAGTATACGCATATTATATACTGTATATATAGTTTATGTGTGCATATAGCGTATATATAGTATACACTATATATAGCGTGTATGTAGTATACACTATATATAGCGTGTATGTAGTATACACTATATATAGCGTGTATGTAGTATACACTATATTTAGCGTGTATGTAGTATACACTATATTTAGCGTGTATGTAGTATACACTATATATAGCGTGTATGTAGTATACACTATATATAGCGTGTATGTAGTATACACTATATATAGCGTGTATGTAGTATACACTATATATAGCGTGTATGTAGTATACACTATATATAGCGTGTATGTAGTATACACTATATATAGGGTGTATATAGTATGTATATACTAGTGTATATATAGTATATAGGCCATATATGGTATATATAGTGTATATATAGTATAGTACAACATAGTGTATAGTATATATACGATAGTGTATTTATAGTATATATAGTGCATATATACTATAGTTTATATACACTATATATAAACTATAGTGTATATATAGTGTACATATAGTGTATATATAGTATACTTAAATGTATTCCATTATAATCACAAACCAAATATTTTTTCTCAAAAATATAGAAAATACATAGTTATTACATTTTTTTGCTAAAATTGTATAAAACATTTACATGATTAAGATATTTGATGTGTAATTTTTTCATGGTTTTATCTTTTTAATTTTTTCTTATTCTTGCTTTTACTCATATCTTGAGTTACTTTTCTATACTTATTTTCATACCTTCTCAATCAGCTAAAATTACAAGATCTGAGTTACAAACCTATAGATTCTTCTTAACTTAAATTTAAGTTATGAAAATTTCTCTTGTGATGATTCAGAACCACAGGGCACTTTTTCTCACTAAAGTTTATTTGTTCACCATTACTTTTTCTTGTAACTAAACTTTCTATTTTGAGATAATTATAGATTTACATGTAAGTTTAATAAACAGTAGACAGAAATCACATATACTCTTTATCAGTTTCTCCCAGGGTAATATCTTGAAAGAACTAAAGTACAATATCACAATCAAGATGTTGACAGATACAAAACATTTCTATCAGCAGAAAGATCTGTTATGTTGCCTTTTAAAACCACTTCCACTTCCCTCCTCCCAACGCTCTCTACATCACCCTTGGGAAACACTAATCTGTTTTGCATTTCTATAATTTTCTCATTTCAAAATTTGTGCAAATGGAATAATATAGCATATAATCTTTTGAAATTGACTTTTTTTCACTCACAATAATGCCCTTCAGATTCACCCAGATTGTTTAATGTATTAACAGTTCACTCCTTTTTATTGCTGAGTTCTATTCCATCATACAAATATGTCAGTTTAATCCTTCTTCTGTTGAAAGACCTCTGGGTTGTTTCTAGTTTGGGGGAATCATGTATAATGAATACAGCTGCTGTGAACATTTCTGTATGAGTTTTTATATGCACCTAAGTCTTCACTTCTCTGGGATAAGTGTTCTGGAGTGCAATTGCTGGGTTATGTGGTAGTTGCCTCTTAAGTTTTTTAAGAGGTTGCCTGTTTACTAGAGGTGCTGTACATTCCCAAAAGTACGTGTACATGATAGAGTTTGCATCCTGAACAGTATTTTGTGCTGTCACATCTTTTTAAACTTAGGCAATTTGACAAGTGTGTGGTGATATCTCATTGGGTATTTATTTTGTGTTTCCCTAATGGCAAATGGCTTTGAATCTATTCCATATGCTTATTTGTTATGTATATATTCTCTTCAACGAAATGCTACTAAACATCTTCTGTCAATTTTCTAATTGAATTGCTATTTTGCTTTTGCAGTTGAGTTTTCACAGTTCTTTATGTATTCTAAGTACTAGTGCTTTGTTAGGTGTGTGATTTACAAATATTTTCTCCCGGTATATAACTTGTCTTTTCATCCTTTTAACTGGGTATTTTGTTGAACAAATGCTTTCTGTTTTGTTTTATTTTGTTTTATGATGAATTCAAATTAATCAATTCTTCTGTTTATGAATTATGCTTTTGGTGACAAGTCTAAGAACTTTTTACCTACCCTGAGATTCTAAAGATTTTCCTCTGTGCTTTTTCACTAAAAGTTTTATAGATTTGTATGGTTATACTTAAGTGTGATCCATTTTGAGTTAATATTTGTAAAAGGAATGAAGCTTAGGTAGAAGCTTATTTTTTGCCTACAAATGTTCAGTGGCCCCAGAACCATTTGTTGAAAAGTCTATCTTTGCTTCCTTGTATTAATTTTAAACTTTTGTCAAAAATCAGTTGGGTATATACGGATGGGTCTATTTCTCAATTATTTATTCTTACATTAATCTATGTGTCTACCCCTTTGTCAATACCATACAGCTTTGATTACTATAGTTATACAATAAGTTTTAAAATCAGATACACTTTTTTCCCACTTCATTTTTCTCATACAAAATTGTTATTGCTATTTTAGTTCCTTTGCCTTTCTGTTTAAATTTTACATTAGCAAAAATTTTTTGCTGGGATTTTGACAGAAGTCATGTCAAACCTATGTATCAAATGGGGTAAATAGCATCTTAGTCTTCAAATGCAATAAACTTTCAATAAATCAGTGTCTTCTTTGACTTATTTCATCTGTGTTTTGTAGCTTTCAGCATTCTGTATATTTATTAATGGATTTACATCTAAGTATTTCCTGTTTTTTGAATGATTCTAAATTGCATTTTTAATATTTCTGGTTCATTTTTAGTATATAGAAATAAAACCTTTTTAAATGTTTATCTTTTATCATGTGTTCTTGCTCAACTCACTTAGTTCTAAGAGTTTACTTATAGATTGAATGTGTCTTTCTTTTAACTTTTAAGTTCAGGAGTACTTGTGCAGGATGGGTAGGTTTGTTACATAGGTAAATGTGTGTCATGGGCACTTGTTGTGCAGATTTTTTTGTTACTCAGTTATTAAGCTTAGTATCCATTAGTGATTTTTTCTGAAGCTCTCCTTCCTCCACTGTCTGCCCTCTGGTAGGCCCCAGTGTGCATTGTTCCTCTGTATGTTTGTATGTGTTGTCATCATTTAGCTCCGACTTATAAGTGAGAACATGTGGTATTTGGTTTTCTGTTCTGCATTAGTTTGCTGAAAATGATGGCCTCCAGCTCCATCCATGTCCCTGCAAAGAACATAATCTCATTGCTTTTTATGATTACATAGTATTGCATGCCGTATATGTACTACATTCTCTTTAAGCAGCCTATCATTGGATGATGCAGTGGAACCAAAGAAAAGAAGCCAGAATAGCCAAGGCAATCATAAGCAAAAAGGAGGCACCACACTACCCGCCTTCAAACTATACTATAAGGCTACAGTAGTAACCAAAACAGCATGGTACTGGTATAAGAACAGACACATGGACCAATGGAACAGAATAGAACACCCAGATATAAGACTGCACATCTACAACCATTTGGTCTATGAAAAATCTGACAAAAACAAGCATTTGGGTTGATTCCATACCTTTGTTATTGTGAATAGTGCTGCAGTGAACTTGTCGTGTACATGTACATTTTTTTTTTTTTGAGACAGAGTCTCATTCTGCTACCTAAGCTGGGATGCAGTGGCACAATCTCAGCTCACGGCAACCTCCACCTCCTGGGTTGAAGAGATTCTCCCTTCTGAGACTCTTGAGTACCTGAGATTAAAGGCACCTGCCACCACGTCTGGCTAATTTTTGTATTTTTAGTAGAGAGGGGGTTTTACCATGTTGGCCAGGTTGGTCTCAAACTGCTGACCTCAAGTGATCCACCCACCTTGGCCTCTCAAAGTGCTGAGATTACAGGCATGAGCTACTATGCCCAGCCCATGCCTTTGTAACAGAATAATTTATTTTCCTCTGGGTAAATAATGTAATGGTATTGCTGTGTCAAATGGTATTTCTGTCTCTAGGTTTTCAGGAACAGCCACACTGTCTTCTGTAATGGCTGAACTAATTTACACTCCCACCAACAGTGTAAAAGTCTTCCATTTTCTTCACCACTTTACAAGCATCTATTTTTTTTTGACTTTTTAATAATAGCTGTTCTGACTGGTGTGAGATATATATCATTGTGGGTTTTTTTGTTTGTTTGTTTTTTGTTTTTCACAGAGTCTCACTCTTGTCACCCAGGCTGGAGTGCAGTGGCATGATCTTGGCTTACTGCAACCTCTGCCTCCCAGGTTCAAGCAATTCTTCCTCAGCCCCTTGAATAGCTGGGATTACAGGTGCCTGCCACCAAATCCGGCTAATTTTTGTATTTTTAGTAGAGACGCGGTTTCACCATGCTAGCCAGGCTGGTCTCGAACTCCTGACCTCAGGTGATCCACTCACCTTGGCCTCCCAAAGTGCTGGAATTTCAGGCGTGAGCCACCGTGCCCAGCCTCATTGTGGTTTGATTTACATTTCTCTAGTAACAAGTGATGTTGAACTTTTTTTCGTGATTGTTGGCTGCCATGTGTCTTCTTTTGAGAAGTGTCTGTTCATGTCCTTTGCCCCCTTTTTAAGGGTTTTTTTTTTTCTTGTAAATGTTGCTTATAGATACTGGATATTAGACCTTAGTCTAATGCATGGATTGCAAAGATTTTCTCTCATACCATAGGCTGTCTGTTTACTCTGGTAATTTCTTTTGCTGTGCAGAAGCTCCTCAGTTTAATTAGGTCCCACTTGTTAATTTTTGCTTGTTGCAATTACTTTTGGGGTCTTCATCAAAAAATGTTTGTCTGTGCCTGTGTCCTGAAACTTATTGCCTAGGTTGTATCCAGGGTTTTTTTATAGTTTTGGGTTTTACATTTAAATATTTAATCCATCTTGAGTTCTTTTTTGTATGTGGTGTAAGGAAGGGGTCCATTTTCAATTTTCTGCATATTGCTAGCCAGTTCTCTCAGCATCATTTATTAAATAGGGAATCCTTTCCCCATTGCTTGTTTTTGCCAGGTTTTTCATAGATCAGATGGTTGTAGGTGTACAGTCTTATTTCTGGGTTCTCTATTCTGTTCAATTGGTCTGTGTCTGTTCTTTTACCAGTACCACGGTGTTTTGGCTACTGTAGTCTTTTAGTATAGTTTGAAGGCAGGTAGTGTGATGCTTCCTTTTTGTTTAGGTTTGTCTTGGCTATTCTTACTCTTTTTTGGTTCCGTATGAATTTTAAGATTTTTTTTTCTAGTTCTGTGAAGAGTGTCAATGGTAGTTTAATGGGAGTAGCATTAAATCTATGAATTGCTTTGGGAAGTATGGCCACTTTTGCAATATTGATTCTTACCATCTATGAGCATGGAATGTTTTTCCATTTGTGTCATCTCTGATTGCTCTGAGCAGTGGTTTGTAGTTCTTCTTGTAGAGATTCTTTACTTCCCTTGTTAGCTGTATTCCTAGGAATTTTATTCTTTTTGTGACAATCGTAAATAGGATTGTGCAAGGCTCTCTGCTTGCCTGTTGTTGGTGTATAGGAATTCTAGTTTCTTTTGCCCATTGATTTTGTATCCTGAGTCTTTGCTGAAGCTGCTTATCAGCTGAAGAAGCTTTTGGGCTGAGACAATGGGGTTTTCTAAATGCAGAAACTGCAAACAAAGATAATTTGACTTGCTGTCTTTCTATTTGAATATCTTAATTTTTTTTCTCTTGCCTGATTACCCAGGCAAGAACAGCCAATATTATGCTGAATATGAGTGATGAGAATGGGCATCCTTGTCTTGTGCTGGTTTTCAAGGGGAATGCTTCCAGTTTTTGCCCATTTAGTATGATATTGGCTGTGGTTTTGTCATAGATGGCTTTTATTATTTTGAGATATGTTTCTTCAATACCTAGTTTCTTGAGACTTTTTAACTAGAAGCAGTATTAAATTTTATTGAAAGTCTTTTCTGCATCTACTGAGATAATCATGTGGATTTTGTCTTTAGCTCTGTTTATGTGATAAATCACTTTTAATGATTTGAGTATGTTGAACCAACCTTGCATCCCAGGGATGAAGCCTACTTGATCATGATGGATAAGCTTTTTGATGTGCTGCTGGATTCAGTTTGCCAGTATTTTGTTGAGGATTTCTGCATTGATGTTCATCAAGGATATTGGCCTGAAGTTTTCTGTTTTAGTTTTATCTCTGCTAGGTTTGTTTTGTTATCAGGATCATGTTGGCCTCATTGAATGGGTTAGAAATGAATCCCTCTTTTTCAATTCTTTGAAAAAGTTTCAGTAGGAATGGTAGCAGCTCTTCTTTGTACATCTGGTAGAATTCAGCTATGAATCTGTCTGGTCTTCAGCTTTTTTTGGTTGGTACGCTATTTATTTCTGCCTCAGCTTCAGAACTTGTTACTGGTCCACTCAGCAATTCCAGTTCTTCCTGGTTCAGTCTTGGGAGGGTGTATGTGTTCAGGAATTTACTCATTGCTTCTAGAGTTTCTACTTTATGTTCACGGAGGTGTTTATAATATTCTCTAAGGGTTATTTACATTTGTATGGTATCAGTGGTAATATTCTTCTCATCATTTCTGATTGTGTTTATTTGAATCTTCTCTCTTTTTCCCTTTTTGTGTCTAGCTAGTGATCTATCTATTTGATTATGTTTTTCAAAAAACAGCTCCTAGATTTGTCAATCCTTTGGAGGGTTTTTCATGTCTCTAACTCCTTCAGTTCAGCTCTGATTTGGGGTATTTCTTATCTTCTGCTAGTTTTGGGTTTGTTTGCTCTTGGTTCTCTACTTCTATTAGTTGGGATGTTAGGTTGATAACTTGAGATCTTTCTAAATGCTTGATGTGGGCATTTAGTGATGTAAATTTCCCTCTTAACACTGCCTTAGCTATGTCCCAGAGACTCTGGCACTTGTACTTTTGTTCTTATTAGTTTCAAAGAACTCCTTGATTTATGCCTAAATTTCATTATTTACCACAAAGTCATTCAGAAGCACGTTGTTCAACTTCCATGTTGTTGTATGTTGAGTGAATTTGTTAGTCTTGAGTTATAATTTCATTGTGCTGTGGTCCAAGAGACTGTCATTATTTCATTTATTTTGCATTTGCTTTGATTTTATGTGATCAATTTCAGAGTATGCGCCATGTGGCAATGTGAAGAATTCTGTTGTTTTTGGGTGGAGAGTTCTGTAGATATTTGTCAGGTCCATTTGATTCACAGCTGAGTTCAGGTCCTGAATATCTTTGTTAATTTTCTCCCTCGATAATCTAATATTGACAGTGGGGTGTTGAAGTCTCCCACTATTCTTGTGTGGAAGTAAAGTTTCTTTAAAGGTCTCTAAAAACTTGCTTTATGATTCTAGGTCCTCCTGTATTGGGTGAATACATATTTAGCATAGTTAGCTCTTCTTGTTGAATTGAACCCTTTGGCATTATGTAATGCTCTTGTTTTTTTAAAAATCTTTGTTGGTTTAAAGTCTGTTTTCTCAGAAACTAGGGTTGCAACCTCTGCTTTTTTCTGTTTTCCATTTTCTTGAAAAATTTTCATCCTATGTGTGTCTATGTTTGTCTTTCCTATGTATGTCTTTGCATGTGAGATGGGTCTCTTGCAGACAGCATACCAACGGTTCTTCATTTTTTTTTCCAGCTTGCCATTCTGTGTCTTTTAATGGAGGCATTTAGCCCATTTACATTTAAGATTAGTGTCTGATATGGTTTGGCTCTATGTCCCCACACAAATCTCATCTTGAATTGTACTCTCATAATTTCCATGTGTTGTGGGAGGGACCCAGTGAGAAATAATTTGAATCATGAGTGCAGTTTCCCCCATACTGTTCTCATGGTAGTGAACAAGTCTCACAAGAGCCAATGGTTTTATTGGGGGTTCTGTTTTTGCAGCTTCCTCATTTTCTCTTGCTGCATCCATGTAATAAGTGCTTTTTGCCTCCCACCATAATTCTGAGGCCTCCCCAGTCATGTGGACATGTAAATCCAATTAAACCTCTTTTTCTTCCCAGTCTTGGGTACGTCTTTATCAACAGCACGTAAATGGACTAATACGATAAACTGGTATCAGTAGAGTGGAGCATTGCTGAAAAAATACCCAAAAATGTAGAAGCGACTTTGGAACTGGATAACAGGTGGAGGTTGGAACAGTTTGGAGGACTCAGAAGACAGGAAAATGTGGGAAAGTTTGGAACTTCCTAGAGACTTGTTGAATGGCTTTGTCAAAAATACTGATAATGGGATGGACAACGAAATCCAGGCTGAAGTGGTCTCAGATAGAGATGAATAACTTGTTGGGAACTGGAGCAAAGGTGACTCTTGTTATGTTTTAGCAGAGAGACTGGCGGCATTTTGCCCCTGCCCTAGAGATTTATGGAACTTTGAACTTGAGAGAGATGATTTAGGGTATCTAGCAGAAGAAATCTCTAAGCAGAAAAGTATTCAAGAGATGACTTGGGTGCTGTTAAAAGTATTCACTTTCAAAAGAGAAACAAAGCATAAACGTTAGGAAAATTTGCAGCCTGACAATGCAGTAGAAAAGAAAAACCCATATTTTGAGGAGAAATTCAAGCTGGCTGCAGAAATTTGCATTAGTAACAAGGAGCCAAATGTTAATCCCCAAGATAATGGAGAAAATGTCTCCAGGGCATATCATGGGTCTTCATGGCAGACCCTCCCATCACAGACCTGGAAATCTAAGAGGAAAAAATGGTTTTGTGGGCCAGGCCCAGGGGCCCCATGCTGTGTGCAGCCTAGGGACTTGATGCCCTGCTCCCCAGCCATTCCAGCCATTGTAAAAGGGGCCAAGGTAAAGCTTGGTCTATGGTTTCAGAGTGTGCAAACCCCAAACCTTGGCAGCTTCTATGTGGTGTTGAGCCTGCTCGTGCACAGAAGTCAAGAATTGAGGCACCTAGATTTCAGAAGATGTATGAAAATGCCTAGATGCTCAGACAAAAGTTTGTTGCAGGGGTGGGGCCCTCATGGGGAACTT
Source organism: Homo sapiens (assembly GCF_000001405.40). Lineage (NCBI taxonomy): Eukaryota > Metazoa > Chordata > Mammalia > Primates > Hominidae > Homo > Homo sapiens. Next base: position 117,032,798 of record NC_000002.12, on the reverse strand, counting down.
CTCATTGAGAACTTCTGCTAGGGCAGCGTGGAAGGGAAATGTGTGGTTGGAGTCCCCACGCAGTCCTTACTGGGGCACTGCCTACTGGAGCTATGAGAAGACGGCCACAGTCCTCCAGACTCCAGAACGGTAGATCCACTGACAGCTTATACCATGTGCCTGGAAAATTCTCAGACACTCAACACCAGCCCGTGAAAACAGCCACGAGGGGTGCTATACCCTGCAAAGCCACAGGGACACAGCTGACCAAGACTATGGGAACCTAGTTCTTGCATCAGCGTGACTTGGATGTGAGACATGGAGTCAAAGGAGATCATTTTGGAGCTTTAAAATTTGACTGCCCTGCTGGATTTTGGACTTGCATGGGCTCTGTAAGCCCTTTATTTGGGCCAATTTCTCCCATTTGAAAAGGTTGTATTTACATAATACCTGTACGCCCATTGTATCTAGGAAGTAACTAGCTTGCTTTTCATTTTACAGGCTCATAGGCAGAAGGGACTTGCCTTGATTCAGATAAGACTTTGGACTGTGGACTTTTGGGTAAATGCTGAAATGAGTTAAGACTTTGGGGTACTGTTGGGAAGGCATGATTGGTTTTGAAATGTGAGGACATGAGATTTGTGAGAGGCCAGGGGTGGAATGATATGGTTTGGCTCTGTGTCCCCATGAAAATCTCATCTTGGATTGTACTCCCATAATTCTCATGTGTTGTGGGAGGGACTCAGTGGGAAATAATTTGAATCATGGTGGCAGTTTCCCCCATACTGTTCTCATGGTAGTGAACAAGTCTCATGAGATTTGATGGTTTTTTTAGGTATTTCTGCTTTTTCATCTTCCTCATTTTCTCTTGCCATCACCACGTAATAAGTGCCTTTTGCCTCCTACCATTATTCTGAGGCCTCCCCAGTCATGTGGAACTGTAAGTCCAATTAAACCTCTTTTTCTTCCCAGTCTTGGGTATGTCTTTATCAGCAGCATAAAAATTGACTAATACAATGTTGTTATGTGTGGATTTGATCCTGTCATCATGATGCTAGCTGGTTATTGTGCAGGCTTGTTTATATGGTTGCTTCATAGTGTCACTGGTTTGTGTACTTCAGTGTGTTTTTGTAGTGGCTGGTAATGGTTTTTCCTTTCTATATTTAGTGCTTCTTTCAGAAGCTGTTGTAAGGGCATGCCTAGTGGTAATGAATTCCTCAGCATTTGCTTGTCTGAAAAAGATCTTATTTCTTCTTTACTTATGAAGCTTCGTTTATGAAATTCTGGCTTGGAATTTCTTTTCTTTAAAAATGTTGTATATTGACTCCCAATCTCTTCTGGCTTGTAGAGTTTCTACTGAGAGGTTGGCTGTTAGTCTGATGGGCTGCCATTTGTAGGTGATCTGGCCTTTCTCTCTGGCTGCCTTTAATATTTTTTTTTATTTTGACCTTGGAGAATCTGATTATTATGTGTCTTTGGGTTGATCTTCTCATGGAGTATCTTACTGGGGTTCTCTGCATTTCTTGAATTTGAATCTTGGCCTCTCTAGCTAGGTTGCAAAAGTTCTATATGATATCCTGAAATATGTTTTCCAAATTTGTTGTATTCTCCCCATTTCTTTCGGGCAACCAATAAGTCATAGATTTGGTCTGCTTACATAATCCTATATTTCTGTGAAGTTCTGTTATTTCCTTTTTTCAATCTCTATTCTTGTCTGCCTGTCTTATTTCAGAAAGACAGTCTTCAAGTTCTGAGATTCTTTTCTCTGCTTGATCTATTCTGCTATTAATACTTGTGATTGCATTGTGAGGTTCTTGTAGTGTTTCTCTCAGCTCCATCAGGTTGGTTATGTTCTTCTCTACACTGGCTATTTTGGCTGTCAGCTCCCTCATTATCATGATTTTTAGCTTCCTTGTGTTGGGTTCTAATGTGTTCCTTTAGCTAAGCAAAGTTCATTTTTATCCACATTCTGAAACCTAATTTTGTCATTTCAGCCATCTCAGCCTCAGCTTGGTTTTGATCCCTTGCTGGAGAGGTGTTGTGGTCATTTGGTGGAAAGAGGGTGAGTTTTCAGTGTTTCTGCTCTTTTTCTCATCTTTGTGGACTTATCTACCTTCAGTCTTTGAGGTGACTGATGTTTGGATGGGGAATTTATGGGGTTTTATTTCTTTTTGTTTGCTTGTTTGTTTTTCTTTTAACAGTATGGCACTTTTCTGTAGGGCTACTGGTGGTTTGCTGAGGGTCCAATCCAGACCCTAGTCACCTGACATTTTTCAGTACCTGGAAGTATCACCAGTGAAGGCTGCAAAACAGCACAGATGGCAGATTGTCCCTTTCTCTGGGAGCTCTGTCCCAGGCAGGCACAGACCTGTGGCCACCCAAACACACCTGTAGAAGGTGGCTGGAGACCCCGGTTGGGAGCTCTCACCCAGACAGGAAGAACAGGATCAGGGCCCCACTTAGAAAAGCAGTCTGGCTGATTTTGGTAGAGCAGCTGTGCTTGTTGGGTGATCCCTTCAGCCCCTGCCTTGCTCAGGCTGGAATGGCTGAGACACCCAAACAGCAAAGGTGGCAGCCCGCCCCACCACCAGGCCACTCTGTCCCAGGGAGAAATTAGAACTCTGTCAGCTGTAGAACATGAGCAGGGGTGGCGGGAGGCCCCAGCTGAATCCCTCCCAGTGAAGAGGAATGGATCCAGGTGTCCCATATAAAGAAGCAGTCTGGCCACGCCTCAGCAAAGTGGCGGCCAGGTGCTCGGGTACTGCTTTCTGCCTCAGTCCGCTTAGACTCTCCAAAGCCCACAGACTGGAACAGCTGAGTAACCCAACTAGCAAAGGTTGAGGCCCACCCCTCCCCTCGGGCAGTTTGTCTCAAGGAGAAATCAGAACTCTGTCCATAGAACGCCAGTGGAGGTGGCTGGAGGCCCTGGCTGGGAGGCTCTGCTCAGTGAGAAAAAAGGATCCCGTCCCGCTTAAACCTGTCTGGTCATATTTTGATAAAGGAGCTGTAGTGTGCTGGGGGATGCCCTTTCACATCCAGTCCATTTGGATTCTCCGAAGCCTGCACGCTGGAATGGCTGAGTCATCTGAACAGCAAAGATGGCAAGTCTGCCTCTCTCTCCAGAAGTTCCATCCCATCTCAGGTAGGCACACACCGTGACCGGCAGCTGGCTGGAATTCCAAGCCAGTCAGTTTTACCTCGTGAGGTGCCATGGAAGTGGGGCCCTCAGACCAACACTGCTCAGCTCCCTTTCTAGGGGTGTGTACAGACCAGCCTTGCCTGAGTTGCAGTCACTTTTGCCAGGTATTCCCCAGGCCAGAGAATGTAGAGCTCCTGGGTCTCTGTGTGTGCTCTGCTGAGACTCCACACAGCTCTGTGTATCAGACCCAAGGCCAGCGTGGAGTGGGCCCATGAGGGTATCTCCTAAATCAGAGGGTTTCAAAGATCCCTGGAAGAAGCCTGGTTTCTTAGGGTCGCACATTCATTCACTGCTTCTCTTGGCTGAGGGTGGGGGCTCCGTTGGTTTCATGTCCTCCCAGGTGGGCTGTGACCCTGCCATGCTTTTCTTCATTCTCCCTGGGTCCAGCTGTTTCCCTGATCAGTCCCCATGCTAGTACCTGGATGTTTCAGTTAAAGGTGCTGTATTTACTCACCCCTTTTGTTTCTCTCTGTTAGTGCCACGCATTATAGCTGTTTCTTTTGTCTTTCTTTCGTTCGTTCTTTTGTTTTGTTTTGTTTTGTTTTTGAGACGGAGTCTTGCTCTGTTGCCCACGCTGGAGTGCAGTGGCACCATCTCGGCTCACTGCAACCTCCGCCTCCTGGGTTCGAGCGATTCTCCTGCCTCAACCTTCCAAGTAGCTGGGACTACGGGCACCCGCCACCACACCCAGTTAATTTGTTGTATTTCTAGTAGAGATGAGGTTTCACCGTGTTAGCCAGGATGGGCTGATCTCCCGACCACGTGATGCGCCCGCCTCCAACCTCCCAAAGTGCTGGGATCACAGGCGTGAGCCACCGCGCCCGGCTGTTACTGTTTCTAATCAATCATCTTGGCCAAAAACCTAGTCATTGTATTTTTCAGTTTCAAAATTTCCATTTGGTTCTTCTTTGTATCTTCTATACCTTGGTGAAACTTTATATATTTTTTATTTATTTCATTTATCTTTTTGTCATTTATTCCAAATGTATTAAGCCATTCTTGTATTGTTATAAAGAAATACCTGAGACTGGGTAATTTATAAAGAAAAGAGATTTCGTTGGCTGACGGTTCTGCAAGCTTTATAGGAAGTATGATGCTGGCATCTACTCAGCTTTTGGGAAAGCCTCTGGAAATGTACAATCATGCCGGAAGCTGAAGAGGAGCAGGCAGATCATGTTGCAAATGCAGGAATGAGGGAGGGGAGTTACCACATACTTTAAAAGACCAGATCTTACAAGAACTCACTCACTATCACGAGAACCTTACAAGAACTCACTCACCATCATGGGGACAGTACCAAGAAAATGGTGCTAAACTATTCATGAGAAATTCACCCACATGATCCAATCACCTCCCACCAGGCCCTATCTCCAGCACTGGAGATTACAGTACAAGAGATTTGGATGAGGACAGGTATCCAAACCATATCAGCAAGCATGTTTATAATTCTTAGTGAAGTATTTTTATAATAATGGCTGTTTTAAAATATGTCAGATAACTCTAATCTTAGTATTGTCATCTAATAATTGTCTTTTTCCATTCAGTTTGAGATCTTCCTATTTTTTGATATGACTGTCAATTTGCATCATTTTCATTATTTTATGACTCCAAGAATCATATATAAACCATCTCTTTTAGCTGACTTATTCCAATACTACTCTGGCAGAAACGGGGGGTGTCTTCACCTCATGACTGCCAGATGCTATTAAAACTCCTGATTCTTTACGTGACATGCACGGCATCGAAGGGAAGAGAGCTCCTTGTTACTACTGTGTGTGGGTAGGAGTTTCAGCTCCACGCTAGGCCTCCCCTGATACCTCCCTGGCTGGGAGAAATCAGAATATGTCATTACTCTTCCCATCCTGATTTCCACTGGCACCATGGGCGGAGGGAGTAGCTTTGCTACTGCTGGACTGTAGCAAAATTCTACCACTCAATTAGACCTCCTCTGGTATCAGCCAGTGGGGATGGTGGAGGGACATCTTATTATGGTCAGGTAGGGGTGGAAGTTCAGGTTCTCTGTGTTCTCCACTGACACATTCAGGAAAGGGGACCTTGTTACTAACTGGCAGGCATAAAATTCCAGCTCCCTCTATGGCCTTCTGTGACACCACCCTGGGTGGGAGGAGTGGGGACAGCTGATAAAGGTGGAAATCTAGACTCTCCAGGTAGCTTTGTTGGCATGGGTGGGGGGCGTGGATACAGTTGGCTTGTTTATTTTTGTCTGTTATTTTTCCTCTCACATTTGGCTAGAGTAGAGCAGTTATGGTCTAAACTTTTTCTGTCTTTCTAGGCTGACAGTTTTCAGGTCCTTTGGCTAGAGAGAGCAAACTTTTGTTGTTGTTGTTGTTGTTGTTTCTTCTCTGCACCCGTGGGCATTTCCAAGTTCCTGATACCAACTCTGAACTATATGAGGCAAAAGTAAACTTGGAATTCATCACTGGGTCATATCATGGGTGCCAAAGTCCGTAGTCTGTGTCCTTCCTTTTCTGTACCTTCTGGGTCTTTTTTTTTTTTTTTTTTTTCTGTAATAAGCAGGAGGAACAGGGAAAAGAATAAAAAAAAAAAAGAAATAAAAAGAGAAGAATAAAAATATGGCGGGGGGTTTTATGTTAATAATTGTGATAATAAAATTAATGGCCCCTAAAATAAAAGAAATACCTGCTAAGTGGAGCGAGAAGATGATCAGGTCCACAGAGGCTCCTCCATGTGCTAGGTTTTCTGCTAAAGGGGGATAAACTGTTCAGCTGGTTCCAGCGCCGGCTTCTATTGAGGACACAAGTAGGAGTAGAAAAGATGGGGGGAGAAGTCAGATGCTCATATTATTTATCCGGGGGAATGCCATATCGGTGCACGAATTATCAGAGGGAGTAGACAGTTGCTGAAACCCCCCATCATGATTGGTATTACCTTAAAGAAAATTATAACGAATGCGTGGGCGGTAGCAATAACATTGTAGATCTGATTATCTCCTAGCAGAGTTCCTAGTTGGCCTAAGTCTGCTCGAATTAGAAGGCTTAAGGCGGTGCCTATTATCCCGTCTCACGCATCGAATAGCACTTTTAGTGTTCCTATATCTTTGTGGTATCAACAATTGATGAACATAAGTGGGGAAAAAAAGGTAAAATGACTGAGTAAGCGTTAGACTGTAAATCAAAAGATGGAGGTCAAGGCCTCCTTTTACCAGCGCTGAGGTGATTTCTCATGTTGAGTTGCAAATTTAAAGGAGCAGCTTCTATCCTGCCGGGGCTTCTCCTGCCTTTCTCCCCCAACAGCAGGAGAAATAGGTTGAAGCCAGTTGATTAGGGTGTTTAGCTGTTAACTAAATTTTCATGGGTTTGAATTCCACCAATCTAGCAAGGGCTTAGCTCAATTAAAATGCTTGGTTTGCGTTCAATTGATGCAGAATAGAGTCTTGCAGTCCTCAGACCTGTTACAGAAATTAAGTGTGACTTACTTACTAAGGGCTTTGAAGGCCCTTGGTCTTATTTAACCTAAATTTCTAAGTTATGGTTAGTATTAATGGAGAGATGGGTAAGAGGAGGGTAGAAGAGATGAGAAGTCGGGGGAAGAGTAGTGTGGGTTTTGTGTTTTCGAATTGTCATTTTATTTTCATATTATTAGATGCAGGGAATAGTGTCACTGAGATGGAATAAATTAGGCTTATATGAAAGTACAGGTTGAGTAGGGTTATGATAGCTATAATGGTTGGTGTAATAAGGCTATTGTTTTTTGTAAATTCTTGGATGATGATTCATTTAGGCAGGAACCCTGTTAATGGGGGTAAACCTCCTAGGGATAATAGAATTAGTGGAATTATAGGTGTCAACCATGCTAATTTGTTTCAGGCATGAGACAGTGACAGGGTTGTGGTGCTTATACTCAGGTTGAGTGCTAGAAATGCAGTTGTTGTTAAGATGAGGTAAATAATAAAGTTTAGAATGGTAATGTTTGGGTTATAGATTAGTACTGCTAATTATTCAGTCTGTGTGAGTGATTGAGGAGTAGGCTAGGATTTTACACAATTGTGTTTGGTTAAGTCCTCCTCAACCACCCACTATAATGGATAGGATTGTGATCAACAGGAGGATGTTCGTGTTGATAGGAAAATTTGAAACATGATCGAGATAGGGGCTAGTTTTTGTCATGTGAGAAAAAGTATACCAGATGTTAAAGAGATTCCTTGGGTTACCTCTGGGACTCAGAAGTGAAAGGGGGGCTATTCCTAGTTTTATCATTAGGGCTACTATTATTATTAAGGATGAACATTGATTAATAGTGTTTATTATTGTTCCTTGTCTGGAGGACAGGCTATTGGAAAGGATACCTATCATGAGAATTATGGATGCAGTTACTTGTGTAAGGAAATATTTAGTGGCTGCTTTTGCAGAGCAGGGATTTATTTTTTAAGTTAAGTTTGGGATAAGGACTAGTATGTTTATTTCCAGGCCTGTTCAGATGAGAAATCAGTGTGAGCCTAGCATTGTGGTGATAAGAGTTCCTGTGAAAATAGTAAGAGTAATAATAAGTTGAGCCAAGGGATTAATTAGTATGGGAAGGGTGTAACCAACATTTTCAGGGTATGGGTCTGATGGTTTATTTAGGTGACCTTACTCTAGGACATGGTGTAATAGGTAGAATGGAGAATTTTGAATTCTCAGGGGTAGGTTCAATTCCTATAGTTCTAGAAATAAGAGGAATTTAATCTCTATTATTTACTCTATCAAAGTAATTCTTTTGTCAGACATATTTCTTATGTTTGGGGTGGGATGCTGGAAATTAGGACAGGCATTGAGATATATGTAGAATGCTAGTGTAAGTGGTAGGAAGTTTTTTCACAGAAGGTATATGAGTAAGTTGTAGTGGAATCGAGGGTATGCCATTGAAATTCATAAAAAATAGGGTGGTTAAAAGAAGGGTTTTGGTAATGAAATTTGTGGTATAGAGTTCTGGTGAATATATCATGTGTCGTGCTCCTAGGAAAGTAAGAGGTTAGGGCATTTATTATGATAATATTCATGTATTCTGCTATAAAAAAGAGGGCCAATGAGCCTGCAGCATATTCAATGTTGAAGCCTGAGACTAACTCTGACTATCCTTCTGCTAGATCAAAAGGGGCTCAGTTAGTTTCTGCTAGTTAGTGTGGAGATAAATCATATTATGTCTAGGGGCCATGATGGTAGGAGCAGTCATACGAATTCTTGCATTATGACGAGTGTTTGGTAAGTTAAACGAGCCGCTTCTCAGTAGGACTGATAGTAGGATAATGGCTAGGGTGACCTCATAAGACATTGTCTGGGCCATAACTTGTAATGGACTCATTAGTGCATATTTTGAATTAGGTGCTCATCTTGATCACAGAATAGATGGTCAGGCTTGATGTGGCTAGTATAAAAAGGAGGTCTATATTAAAATTAACTAGAGGATTTGGTATAGGGAGGGGAGTTTGTAAGAGGAGAGTGATAGAAAGGGCAAGGACTGGAGCAGTAATATAAGGGTAATAGTACTTGCTGAGGGCTGTAACAGTTCTTTGGTGAAAAGTTTTATTGCATCACTGAATGGTTGAAGCATCTCGTAGGAACCTACAATGTTCAGTCCTTTGCATAGTTGTATATAGCCTAAAATTTTGCGTTTGATGTGTGTAAAGAATGCTATAGCAATAAGAGTGGGGATAATGAGTAGGAGAAGGTTAGTTATAGGCATGTTGTTAAGAAGAGGAGTCGAACCTCTGATTATAAAGTTTTAAGATTTATGCAATTGCTGGGCTCTGCCATCTTAACAAACCTTGTTCTTGAATAGTGTGTGTGATGATTTGTTAGAATGAGAGAGCATCATCTATGGAGTGAGGGCACTTTATGAAGTGGGCCTATGTCTCTTGTCCTTTCATACTAAGAGAAATGTTAAATAGATAGAAACCGGCCTGGATTACTCTAGTCTGAACTCAGATCACATAGGACTTTAATCTTTGAACAGACAAACCCTTAATAGTGGCTACACCATTTGGATGTCCTGATCCAACATCGAGGTCGTAAACCCTATTGTCGATATGAACTCTAGAATAGGATTGAGCTGTTATCCCTAGGGTAACTTATTCTGTTGATCGAATCATTGGGTCAGTGTGTTTTAACTCACTTAGGCTAGTGCAGTCTTAATTTAGGTTGTTCGGAGGTTGAATTATGCTCCAAGGTCACCTCAACCAAAATTTTAAATGCAAGGATAGTAGGCTAGGGCCTGTAGGCTTGTTTGAGTTTTTATTTGCATTAATGAATTAAAGCTCCATAGGGTCTTCTTCTCTTATTTGTTTATATCTGTTTCTTCACGGATAGGTCAGTTTCACTGATTAAAAGTAAGACAGCTGAATCCTCATGTAACCATTCATACAAGTCCCTATTTAGGGAACAAGTGATTATGCTACCTGTGCACTGTCAGGATACTGTGGCCGTTAAACATATGTCACTGGGTAGGCAGTGCCTCTAATACTGTTAATGCTAGAGGTGATGTTTTTGGTAAACAGTCAGGGTATGATTTGCTGAGTTTCTTTTACTTTTTGTAATCTTTCCTTAGAGCTTACCTGAGATGGGTTAACAGTGTAAATAATAGGGTGCTTATTGTATCATTTATTAATATTAGGCTGTTAACTGTCAATGGGTTATTCCAGTCTGCTGTAAGCTTATGCAATGGAGAATGTCTTCATGTTACTTATACTAACATTATTGCTTCTATTAAATAATAGATTAGTCCAACGTGATGTTAGGAGTTCAGTAGAGCGATTAGAATTTAAGGTAGTTAGACGTTGAGCTTAAACTCTTTCTTAATTGGTGGCTGCTTTTGGGCCAAGTATGGTGGTAATAATATTTTTTACTTTCTATAGGAAGGTTGTTTCCTACGCTCTAAAGAGCTGTCCCTCTTTAAAGTAACAGTTAAACTTACAAGGAGATTAAGTAATTCTGTGGGTAAGTTTAAAGTTGGACTAAAACTCTATCTTGGACAACCAGCTATCACTAGGCTTGGTAGGCTTGTCCCCCCTACTCATCAATCTTCCCACTATTTTGCCACATAGGTGGGTGTGCGCTTTCAGTTATTCTTGGGTAGCTCATCTGGTTTCAGGGGACTTGTCTGTCGTTCTCTGTGTAAAGTTATTTCTGGTTAATACATTATGCAAAAGGTATAGGGCTTGTCTTTGATTTTTAGGTCTTGATACAGTTCTTTCATCTTTCCCTTATGGTACTATGTCTATTGCACCAGGATAAAAATTTCTATCACCTATACTTTTGTCTAAGGTAAATGGTTTAAGATATTTTGATAATATTTTTAGCAACGTTCGGGGCTAGAGTTGGTTCAAATTGATCAGGTCATGCTGAAATATTCTGGGTATAAGCCGGATGCTTTGAGTTAAGCTACATTTTGGTTTGTCCAAGCACACTTTCCAGTATGCTTACCATGTTACAACTTATCTCTTCTGTATGCATGTAGAAAGTTATTAGTAATAGTGATTTCTACAGTAATATTTGAGGAGGGTGATGGGCGGTGTGTGCGTACTTCACGGCCTTATTTAACCAAGTGCTCTGCTCTTGGTTTATGGCTAAATCCTCCTTGAGTCCTTAGATTTCATAAGAATTGTCATGAGATTTTCTGGACATACAAAATATAGCCCATTTCTTGCCACCTTATGGGCTACACTTTGACCTAATGTTTTTATGTGCGTACTTGTGCTTACTCTATAGCCTTTTAAGGGTTTGCTGAAGATAGCAGTCAGTATAAGGCTGGAGGGCAACAGGTGGTGAGGTGTATTGGGGTTTATCAGTTATAGAACAGGCTCCTCTAGAGGGATATAAAGCACCACCAAGTTCTTTGAATTTTAAGCTGTTGTAGTACTCTGGCGACTGTTTTTGTTAATGTAACTATTAGAGTTTATGGCTAGGCATAGTGGGGTAACTAATGTTTGCATCTTAGCTATTGTGTCTTCAGGGTATTAAAGCCACTTTCGTAGTATATTTTATTTCAGCTGAGTTTTTTACAACTTAGATGGGGTTTAGCTTTATTGAGGGTAGACCTTAAACACTCTTTATGCCGAGTCCTATTAGCTCGGGTTAATCGTATGGCCGCGGTGGCTGGCACGAAATTAACCAACGCTTAACATTAGTATAGCTTAGTCAAACTTTCATTTATTACTAAAGATTTATCACCGCTGTTTCCGGTGGGGGTGTGGTTAACAAAGTGTTTTGAGCTGCATTCGTGCGTGCTTGATACCTGCTCCTTTTGACCCGGTGATCTAGAGGGGATTTTCACTGGGGCAGGGAAGCTTGCATGTTTAATCTTACTAAGAGCTAATAAAAAGGCCAGGACAAAACCTATCTGTTCATCGGGTGGTGTGGACCCAACTAGACATTTTCAGTGTCTTGCTTTGAATAATTAACATCCATTAACTATATAAATACTTAGTAGAAAAGTTAAAATATGAGAGAGAAAGAAAGAAAGGAAGGAAAGAAAGAAAGAAGGGAAAGAAAGAAAGGAAAGAAAAAGAGAGAGAGAGAAAGAAAAAGAAAGAAAGAAGTGTAAATATTTGTTTAGAGTTCTGGAAATTCAGGGTCTTTATTGGCAGAGGTTTAGCTGGGAGGATTGGTCATAATTAGAGTATGGTTAATTTAGGGTATGATATAATGGGGCAGGGCTTTCAGAGGGAGATGCTCAAGGTGTATTAGTATTAGGGTGGAAATTTAGTTATTATATTTGTTATACAAAATGGGGATTACTTTGGTAGGAGAGTCTTAAGATTTTTAGAAAAATTACATCAGTCGAGGAGTAGCTGTTGGAGTGTTTGTGGTTAAAATATGATCTCTGGACTCTGACTAGTTTGCATTTTAGTCTCTTGTTTTTGTGATTTGGCAAGGATACAGTTTACTTAGGTTGATGGTAAAGTCACAGATAGGAGGAGAGGGGTCGCGGATTTAATCAAAAATAGTTCTCGAAAGTGCGTGAGGGTAAGTGCCTGAGCGTCTTGATTGTTATGTCTTTCAAGCATGAATTAATTAACCTTATGGTTATTATGTCAACCCGGAATATTCAATATAAGCTCAGCTTCTACAATTAGTTTGTTAGGAATCAAATCCGAGTTCGTCTACAGCAGATCTGGCAGGGACCAGGCCTTCCGCGATGGGGAGTAACAGCATCCCCCAAAGTTAAAAATACCAAATGCATGACAGTCCTCCCCTGACTGGTTAATAGGGTGGCAGTCACTAGTCCATTGAGATGTCTTATTTAAGGGGAACATGTGGGCGATCTTAGTATTATGGCCCTGAAGTAAGAACCAGATGTCAGGTATAGTTTCAGTATATTCACCCCCAAATGTTATGGGCCTGGAGCAAGGAGGGTAGCACTCCCGAGTGGGATGATGATTTCTAAGAGGTTGGTTGATTAAGAGACCAAAAATTGGTAGGTAGACCAAAAATTGATAACCATGTGGACAAGGGATGTCCGGACTAAAATTTGCCATGGTTGATGAATGAAGGTATGTACTATGTAATATCAAGGATATATAGTACGGATCAATATCCACGTGGATTAGATTTGATTGTACAGCTAATAATAGTAAATGTGTAACAGTTGATTAAGACATTATTAATACGTGCCTATATGCATGTGAACTGGATTCGTAATGTGTTGTTATGTATGAATGTACTATGTACTGATAAGCAACAATAGTACTATAAAAAAAGCCCTCATCGGGATTTTTTGAAACCACTTTCTTTCCATTTGTTTTACTTTTATCCTTTTTCAGATTGTTGTTCTATAGAAGGATGTGTTCTTTAGATTTGTTCAGTGCTGTATGACCCATTATCCTGGCATCCTTATATATTAACCTGATGGGGGTAATTTATGTGATAATACATGTAAGCCTTAATTGTATCTTATTGTAATTAATAGAAGATTTAAATCCTGAGGGATAAGAAACCTAACCAGCACAATTAGCTCTTCTCTTAGGATGCTAGCTGATTTGTCAACTGAAACAGAGTTCAAATTTCTTTCTGCTTCATCACAGAGTATGACCACCTATAGTGAATAAATGTTGCATCACTTTTTTCTTTTCATTATTAATAACGATTGAAATTAACTGGTATTTCCACACCCATCACCACACTTCAAAATAAAATGAAAGAAAACATAACATGTATCTATAGTTCATGAACTGGCCTGTATTTAAAGAAAATACTTATGCTTGTTAGCACTTCAGTTTAAATATTTAATTAAAAATTCAACATGTTCTACTGTATATACTTCTATATCTTATAATTGTCTTATTTGGAATGCTGTGATAGAATATATTATTTTATGCAAATATTTACTCTCTCTCTCCTCCCATAAGAGGGATATCTTTTCTTCCCTCAACAATGTTGGACTTAGCCATGCAACTTGCTTTGCCTAAGGGGATGTGAGTGGATCTAACATAGCCTATAACTAAGCAGAAGTCTTAAGATTTTATGGTGCAGACTGGTCTCTTTTGGTCCTCTCCTCTGTCCCAAGAAAGTGCATGTCTCACATTGAGAATATCCTTTTAGCCTGGGTCCCAGAAAAAGACACATAAAATCATGCTAAACAGAGCTGCAGTAGCATGTATGCATGTATACAATATGGATGAGGATTGAATGTTATTATAAGTCATCGAGACTTCAGAAATGTTTGGTATGTAGCAGGACTAACCAATGTATCATCTAATATTTATAACCTTTCAAACACATATTATAATTAAATCTAATGAGGAAAAGACCGTTTCTTTGCTTGTTTTAGAGCAATTCATTACATCCTTGAAACTATGTTTTGCTTTATTGTGGGATAAAGATGTTCTAAGCCTATTTTTAGCCTCTATTATTTTTCACCGGGATGCAGAATCCACAACCCCCAAATATCTCAGCTTCCTTTTAGCAAATAGCACTAACAGAAATCAAATATCTGAGCTCTAAATTTGGATTGAGAATTGCTGCTGCGCAAAAACACCGTCATAGCTGTTAAAACACCAATAGTCATACATAAAAATTTTACCTTTTAAAGAATAAGATTATATGATTTTTTAAAATTTAAATATAACTGAAACTTTGTATTTTATTAAATGTAAATCTTTTTTATTTACACTATTACACTTCAGTTTTTGTAACCCTTCACCATAATTCTGAGTTTTTTCTTTTATAAATCATATATATCTTATTATCTGCTATTTTGCAGTCACTTTATTGACACAGAAGAGTTTTCATATATTTACCCAGGGTATATATGGGTTTTGAATTGACTCAGTTCCAGAATTTTTTCTTTCTTGGTGTGATTACTTTATTGTTTTCTTGATATTTTAATGTTCAAAAATATTTTCACAGTTACATGTTGGACATCAAACAATGGGGGCTAGATTTCTGCCTCTTGACTATTGGATAGTCCTGAATAGAAATAATTTATAAGTGATTAGTTCTGAAGATATTTGTTTTTGCTTACTCAAACACAACTAAAATTGAATAGGTTATTGTCACAGAAACCTCATTTTATAAATACAGAGTTGCGTAAGTAATCTAGGGATAAAGTACTTCATGTAATTTAGCTCAACAGATGACCAGCAGTATTCCAAGCTAGGTATTAATATCTAATTGAGAAATCATTGTGAGTGCTAATAATTGGGAATACCCTTTTACTTGATATTTTACAGTGTCATGGGCAGAAGTCTTTATAAGCACATTTCTACTTGGGATGCATGTTGAATAAGGAAAATATGAGAAACAGAACTCTAATTTGGATTGATATGTAGCTATTCATTTAAATATGCAAGCTTTGCATGAGTCTTTCTTGTGAACATATTGGCTAATATATGGGGTAGATTGGAGATAAATTGATATTTTAGTTTGAAAACATTGATTAGAACAAGACTTCTTTTCATGTTCAGATATAGGGTATACCTCATTACATTGTGCTTCACAGATATCACATGTTTTACAAATTTAAGGCTTGTGGCAAGCAAATCTATCAGCTCTGTCCTATAGTGTGTGATCATTTCATGTCTTGGTGTCAGCATCGTTTAGCCATAAAATAGTTTTAATTAAGGTGTGTACATTGTTATTTTAGACATAATGCTATTGCACACCATTTAATAGAGTACAGCCTAGTGTAAACATAACTTGTATATGCACTGGAAAGCAAAAAAACATTGTGTCACTTGCCCGATTGCAATATTCACTTTATTGTAGTGGTCTGAGATTAAACCTGCAATATCTCTGATGTCTGCCTGTATTCGGGCATAGAATTAAATCTGCAATATCTCTGATGTCTGCCTGTATTCGGGCATAGAACTGCATCCTCCTAAGCCTCAGTTTGCTAAATCATTTGATGGAAATCATTATATACATCTCAAAAAGTTCTTGTAAGGATTACCTGAAAACAAATTTGTTTGTATGAATGAGTTTGTTCTGATTAGATTTTAGTTCTCACAACTTTCTGTCCTGTTTACTATTGTTTTGTGAGTGTATAACACTGGCCTAGCACATAATTGGTTTTCAGTAAATATTATACAACCATTTATTGATTGTTTCTTAAACATTATCTCTTTTCCCTTAAACTGTTTTTTAATATTAATATCCACCGTGGTGACCATTTACAGGAAAATAGTCTCAAATTCTTGGCAACCAAAAACACAATCACTAACACACTTTCCTCAGTGTCTTTCCATTGCTACATTGCTTATTAAAGTATGTCGACTTTTGTCATTTTTCGTATCTTTCCGAACATTTTAGATGATATATTATTCTCAATCATTAATTAATCATTAGTGTGTATTCTTCTTGCTTTTTAAAAATTTTTTCTAGAATTATTCAAAAGTTCGACAGTAAAATGATTATTCAGTAGTGTGTGATAGAGACTTTGTATAAGCCTTTTGAGAGGAATACCAACAAAGATTATTTATTCATGAAAAGTGTCTGTAATACTACAGCAAATGATAACTTTTGGCATGATAACAAATGACCCACTATGCATGTATGAATATCAACAGTGCAAAATTCATGTGAAAATTCATAAAACTGAACATAAATTCAAAATCATATAGATGCATATATTAACTGTGTATTTGTATTCTTATTAGAAGTTTAATGATGCTCATGTTTTAAAAATGCAAATATAGCTATTCTTTATCTGAAATATTTATTAAGTTAAAAAAGTATGTGGAGAAACTAAAGAGTGTTTTAACAAGCCTCAAACTGCTCAAGGATGAAAACTATAAACACTATGGCTAGGATAAAAAAGTGTAGTGTTTACCCTAGGGAAGAAAGAGTTGTGAGGTGACTGAATAATTAGCATTCAAGATAGGTTTATTTTGTAAAGGGTATGAACATAGTGTTTCTATCTCTAGAAGATAGAACATGAGAAGATTGACTTCAATTATGAATGCAGAGCTCCCTGAGACTTCTGGCAATAACTTCCAAAGAGAAACAGACCAAGCAAAGGAGATAAGTTCATTCTCTATAAAATATGTAAACACAGTGAAAACAAAAGCCTTTACAAATGCTTTAACTTCAGGCTTGCTTAAAAAACATAAAGGAGTAAGTTCAATCTTTCCAAATTGAAAATACAAACCAATGCATTGAAGCATTTCAGATAACCTCTTGCTCATGTTTATTTCGTATATTTTCTGATTTTTTTTGTCATGTCAATATATTTACTACTCTTGAGAGGTGTGTGTGAGGGGTGTATGTATGTGTGAGACAAGAGATTTTATTAAGAAAGCGAAAGGACAAGCCACAGACAAAATATTTCCAAACCACATGTAGGATAAAGTGCTCATATCTAAAATGTATAAAGAACATTAAAAGCCAATAATAAGGGGATATCTAAACCAAAGTAAAATAAGCAATGGAGTTTAATGGAATTACTAAGTCTCAAAATAAAGATATATGATGGCTCATATATATATTTATTACATACTCTCAAAGATATGTAAATGACTAATAAACAGAAAAATAATTATATGCTCTGACAATTCTACTCTTAGGCATTTACCCGCGAAATGAAAATGTATATATATAAAAGGTCTTACAAACAACTGTTCATGGCAGCAATGCAAAAGATGCCACAAATGTAAGCAATGTAAATGTGCATCCTCTGTTACATATGTTATAATGTTGTATATCCACATAATAAAAATCATTTAGCAATACAAGGGACCGAACAATGGATAAAATTATGATATGGATAAACCTCCAAAACATTATACTAAGTCTGAGTTTCTGAATTTTAGTAGTATTGAATTTTGAGGATAAACAATTATTTGTCATGCAGAAGCTGTCTTTACTTTGTAGAGTGTCTACTAACATCCCTGACATCCATCTACTAGATGCTAATAGCACCCACCCTAGTTGTGACACCTAGACATGTCTGTAGACATTGTAAGATATTCCCTGGTTGCAAAACTACTCCTAGATGAGAGTCACTACAATAAGCAAAAGACCAACTATCTGACTGTATTTATAGGAGATGTTCAGATAAGGAAAATCTACAGAGACAGAACATAGATTAGAAGTTTCCTGTGCTTGAGATGGAATAGAAGACTGACCACAAAAGGGAATAAACAATTTCTTTGGGACGAAGAAAATGTATTAAAACTTAATTATGATGATGAAAGAATTAACACTGAAAATCTACTAAAAGTCATTAAATTGTACACTTAAAACAGGTGGACTTTATGTCATGAAAATTATCCATCAATAAGGCTATTAAAATATTGATAACTATGTTATAACTAATCTTGGGAATTATATATGTCATATATATGTTAGCTAAGGAACACCAAAGATAGAAACACATAAATTTCTAAAAAACAAGATAAAAATATTACAATAATAAAAATTAAAAGGACATGTAATTACAATAGAGAAAAGGCCAGCAAACTACAGCCCATGGGTCAAATTTAGTTAATGGCCTGTTTTTGTACAGTTCTCAAACTATGAATGAGTTTCTCATTTTTTACAAGTTTAGAAACAACAATAAAAAACAGAAAAAAGGATATGAGACAGAGATCTTTTGTCTCATAGACCTTTTATCAGCGACAAAGCCTAAAATATTTATTTTCTAAAATATTTACAATTTAGATTTTTGCAGAGAAAGTTTGCTGTCTTCTACAAAAAAGGAACTAATAGAGTACCATATACTTCTCATCATAAACTATATGTTTCAAGAGACAATGGAATGATACTCTTAAAATGTGGAAACAATAAAATTATCAGTCAACTATAAAATATATTTTATAAATGAAGAGAAACTATATAATTTTTCAAAGACTGGGAGAACTTGTTTAGAGTAACAACCCAATAAAAAATTTTAGAGAAACTTCAGAAGAAATGTTATGCCAGATAAAAATTTTGATCTGCACAAAGAAGTAAAGCACACCAGAAATGCAAAATATGTATATAAAGCACTTGAAACAAACCTCTTAAACTGATGGTTAACTGTTTTAAGCAAAAATAATAACGTCTTATGAGGTTTGCAAAATCTGTGAGATTAAATGCTATTGTCAAAATTGCAACTAGGATGAAAGAGGTGAAATGGAATTGTACTTTTGTACTCTTAATAAATTATATGTAAAATAATAAATTAGGTGATAGACTGTGATAAGTTAAAATACTATTATAAGTTCAGGAATAACCACTAGGAAATAAAATAAAAAGGCATAAATAATAAGCCAGCAGAGGACATAAAATGTAATTAGAAATATATCTCATAAACTCAAAATAAATCAAGGAGAAAAGAAGAAATAGAACGACCAAAGAAAAGATGAGACAATTTTAATATATATTTTCAGATCATAGACACCAACCTATTTTTATTAATAATTACATTAATAATAAATAGTATAAATAAAAAATAAAATTTCAAACACTCCCAATTGATTGAATGTCCCCACCTTTTGGCCAAGGGGATTCCAAAGAAAACCTGAAAACTTACTCCAGACCATGATGGGAAGGAAGGAAGGGTCAGACATGCCTCATTATACTATCCGCCTTTTGGAATTCAGGCATAACTCACCAGCATTGACATTAAAACAGAGATCCTAAGAATGTCAAAACAGACTGTGTGTAGCAATAAAATACCAAATTTCAACCTGACAGTAGTATAGCATTGCATGACAGATAGTAGGCCCTGAAAGAAACCAAAATATTTTACCTCAAAATATATTTCCTTGATGTGTTTTGAAATGGTCCTGCAAAGCTGTCTCTTGTGGGGAAAAATCTACATTCAATAGAGAGTCTTTTTCCTTTTCCTGGTCTTTTCTTAATCCAAGAGAAATTTAAGAATCTGATACCTTTTTAGGTCTGATAAGAGACATTTACCAACTCTTTTCTCTGAAACCTACTACCTGGAGATTTCATCTGCATAATAAGAATCTTGGCCTCTGCAGTCCCTTACCTTAACCCAGACATTGCTTTTTATTAATTCCAGGTCTTTAGATAATAACTTAATTCTTACACCAATTTCCAATCAGAAAATCTTTAAATACACCTATGACCTGGAAGCCCCTGCTCCAAGATGTCCTGCCTTTCCAGACCAAACGAATGTATGCCTTACATGTATTGATTGATATCTGCCTATAACTTTTGATCCCTAAAAGTATAAAAATAAGCTGTAGCCCAACCACATTGGGCATGTGTTCTTAGGACCTCTTGAGACTGTTGTCTTGGGCCTTGGCCGCTCAGATTTGGCTTAGAATAGACCTTATAAAATATTTTACAAAGTTTGACTATTTTTCATTGACAATAGTCTAAAATTTCAATCAAATGTCAGAGATTCAGATTAGAATGAATAAAAAATAAAAGAGCCTTAAGTATTCTCTGCAAGAAACTCACTTTAAAGATAAAAATATGACAAAGTAAAACAATGGCAAAATATGCACCATGCAAACACTAATATTAAGAAAACTGATTTGACTCTACAATATTAACAAAATAGACCTCAGAAGACAGAATATTACCAAGCATAAAACGTAACGGTTTATAATAATAAAGCAGTAAACTTGTTAAGAAGGTATATGTGAAAGATCTAAATCAGAGCTTTGATGTATATAACAAACCACACATCAAACTGGTGGGTGAAAAAGACAAATCCGAGAGCCCCTCGGGGCTCACCCCCCCGCCTCACCGGGTCAGTGAAAAAACGATGCAGCCATAAAAAATGATGAGTTCATGTCCTTTGTAGGGACATGGATGAAATTGGAAACCATCATTCTCAGTAAACTATCGCAAGAACAAAAAACCAAACACCGCATATTCTCACTCATAGGTGGGAATTGAACAATGAGATCACATGGACACAGGAAGGGGAATATCACACTCTGGGGACTGTGGTGGGGAGGGGGGAAGGGGGAGGGATAGCATTGGGAGATATACCTAATGCTAGATGACGAGTTAGTGGGTGCAGCGCACCAGCATGGCACATGTATACATATGTAACTAATCTGCACAACGTGCACATGTACCCTAAAACTTAAAGTATAATTAAAAAAAAAAAAAAAAGAGAAAAAGACAAATCCACAATTATGGTTCTAGATATCGACTATTCGATGAGTAAATAATAGAATACACACAGAGAACACCAATAAGAATATATAAGATGTTATCAATCAACCTAACAGAATGTATCACATACTTACTGAAAAATACATATTCAACTGCAGTACATGAAATATTCACCAATATAGTCAATATATCCTACTGTGAAACAAATTTCAAGCAAAATAAAAATACTGTTGCAACTTTTGAAAACCATTTTATATGTTTCATTATATTGGGAGAATATAAGAGGAAAACAGCATTCTACCAACTCAATTAATGAATGCTGAAAAATAATTTGAAAAATTTAAATACCTATTTTCTCAATCTGAGAAAGGACATATACAACAAACCTATACTAACATCACATTTCATAATGAAAAAGAATATTTTCTTCCTAATATCAAGAACAAACCAATAATGGCCACTTTACGACTTCCGCTAGAATTCCTAACCAGTGAATTAAGGAAAGGAAAATAAATAATAGCAATTATAAAACATACAGATATATAAATAAGGATATTGTCTTTATTGTCGGATGCCATAATTGTGTATATATTAAATCCAAAGCAATCTACAAAAAATTCCACTAAACATTAATATGTGAGTTTAGCAAGATCACAGAATACATGGTTAATACACAAAAAATCAATTATATTTTTATATTTTTACAATGAACAATTGGAAATTGAAAATTTAAAAGCAATAATGAGTGTTATAATTGCACTCCTGAGAGAAATTAAATAATATATATATTAATGGAGATATGCCATGTTTAGGAATCAGAAGATTCAATAATGCTACGGTATCTGTTCTCATCAAATTGATAAACAGCTTCAGTGAAATTCAAATCAAAATGCCAATTGACTTTAGCATAAAATTATCACTATAATTAAATATGTTATATTGACAAGAGGAATTAAAACAGCCAAAAGGGTTTTGCTAAAGAATAACAAAACTTGAATATTTGAACTATTTGATTCCAAGACTGACTCTAGGGAAATTTGCATAGGTCAATGAAACAGAAGAGAATCTAGAAATGGACCCACAGTGTATATGGTCCACTAACATTCTTACGAACACTACCATGATGTGTCAATGGGAAAATATATGTGTCGTATTTTTTCAATACCAAAAAATTAGATGCAGAGCAACAAGACATAACTTAGCAAACATGAACTTGAACCTTTATCTTACGTACAACAATATCAACTTAAAATGTGGCGTATAAACGTAAATCTAAAAAAACTAAAGTTATAATATTTCTTGAAGAAAACATGGGGAAAATTTTTGCAATTTGGGGATAAACAAATATTTTTAGTAAAAACAGAAAAAGCATGAGCCATGTAAGAAAAAGTAATAAATTGTGTTTTATTGAATCAAAAACCTATGTTGTTTAAAAATATTATTAAGAAAATATATTACAAGCCACAAAGTGGAAAAAACCCCGCTGTGAAACATGATACATATATCTGAAAAACAGCTTTTATTTAGAATATATAAACATTCACAATTAAATTACGAAAAGGTACTCGGCTCCCCAAATAGGAAAAAACAACGGAATATTTCACATGGAAGATATAAAAATGACCGATAACCAAATGAAAAGATGTGAAACATCATGAGTTGCACTAAAATGCGACTCAACACCATTATGAAATTCTACTGCACATCCACTGGAATGGTTATAATCAAGAAGACTGACAATATCAAGTGGTAGTAGGGATTGGCAAAACTGTAACACTCATCCATTTCTAGTGAGAATATAAAATTGCATATAGACACTGAAAAACTAACAGCTTTGGTAAGTGTTAAACATACTTACCATATGACCTTACAACTTCACTTTCAGCTATTTGCCCAAGGAAAATTAAAGAAAAAAACTATGTTCAGGCAATGACTGTTTACAAGCAACTATTTAGAGCCTCTTTATTCATAATAGTCAAAAACTGTCAATAGAAAAACTGATAAAGTGTATACAGCCAAATGGTACTCAATAATAAAAAAGAATGAACTACAACTACCCGAAGAATTTATGAATCTCAAAAAAATTTGCTGAAAGAAACCATGCCTCAAAACCCATATATAATCAATGATTCAACCTTGATGTAAGCATAATACATTAGGAGATATTTTACAAAAGAGAAAAAACAATGTGAATGAAATAAAAGAATGCATAATTACATTACTGATCAGAAAAATGGTAATTAATCCGACAATAGGATAGCATTTTATACCCCCAAATTGGTTACAAAGCAACACATAACACAAGTCAAGAATCCTGGCTATATTAAATGTTGGCAAAAATATGGAGGACTGAATGTACTTTTATACTTCTGGTAGAGGTATAAATAATTCACTTTTAAAAAGCATTAACTCATAAAGGTGGACACATTATAAAACACAGTTCATCCATTTCTTTGTGTTTGTGTGAATGTGTGTGTGTTCACTTGAGAAACTTACTGGTTTGCAGGAGGTCTGGCATGAATGTGCAGTGTGTCTTGTTCACAATAGGAAAAACAAACAAACATTGATCCCCTGAACACAAACCAAATGGCATTCAGGAAAATGGGGTAAGTAAATTTGGGGAGACTCAAACAGTTGAATTGTATAAAATAGGGAATATGAATGAGCTATAGTTACATGCAACAGCATAGGTGCATGTTAGGGGAGAAAAACCTTGATATTTATAAAGCTAAAAAAAAAAAGATATATCACATCAGAAAGCATCCATGAGTGAATAATACCATAACATGACAGCAAAACCATGAATAATAAAATTGAGGATAGTTGGTACCACTAGTGGTGGAAGAAATACAGAGTCAGAAAGAATACGTGGAGCATCAAGCATTTATTATCGTAGGAATACGTATATTCCTAAGATGATTGGTGTGCTTATGGCTTTTCATGTTATAATTATTATGACAAATTACACATCTGTTAACATATTTTGCGTGTCTTGAGTATTACATTAAAAAGACAAAATACCCTCCCACAGAGAGCTTACAATTAACAGAAAGCATGGGCATACGCAGCTAGTAATTATATTATAGCATATAAATGTAAGGACATTTAAAAACAAAATAACTATTGTTTTCATAAAACATATACATTAAAAATTCAAACAACAGAAAAATTATAATTTTTTGATTTACCAAAGTATAGTTATACAGCTTGGCACCCAGGGAATTCTTTATAAGGTGTTTTACCTTAATTAACTTTGGGGATTCACTTAAACATGGTTGGAATTCATCTTTCTCATTCGTTCCTTCTTTGGCTAACACTTTTTAAGGCTTAGAAACAATGGTTGCATGAAATACAACTAGAAGTTCAATAACTGATTAGTACAGAAATACTTGTCAAATATTTATTTTGAATTACTTAGGATAAGGAAATACTCCTCTATGCTGTGTGAAATTCAATAAAGATTTTGTTTGTGATACTATGTACACATTGTTCTCTGGTGTCTTACTTTATTAAATCCTCTTAGAACACAGCTTTTTATCATGGTCTGGAGATTATCATGGTCCGGAGATTGTCATGGTTGATTATAGAATACAAAACAAAATGTGTTACCCTAGTGGTGGTTTATTTATATTTTTAATTAGACTTTATTTTTTAGAGCAATTTTAGGTTCACAGAAAAATTGAGAAGGTATAGTGATTCCCCATATCTCTTGCCCCTATGCATACATAGGTTCCTTCATTACCAGAGTGGTGTGTTGTTGCAATTAATGAACTTGCACTGACACATCTTTATCACTGAAAGACCCCAGTTTACATTAGGGGTTACTGGGTATTGTACATTTTATGGGTTTGGACAAATGTATAATGGCAAGTATCCACAACTGTAGTATGATCCAGAGTAGTTTCAGTGCCCTATAAATATTTTGTGTGCCACCTATTTATCCCTTCCTCCCTTTCAACCCCTGGCAAATGATGATCTTTCTGTCCCCATAATTTTGACATTTTCATAATGTCATATAGTTGGAATCATACAGTATATGCCTATTTCAGATTGGCTTCTTTCACTTAATAATAGCCACTTCAGTTTCCTTCACATCTTTTCTTGGCTTGATAGCTCATTTATTTACAGCACTAAATAATATTCCTTTCTCTGGATGTGCCAGACATCATATTCCATTGTCCGGATGTGCCAGACATCATATTCCATTGTCTGGATGTGCCAGACATCATTTCTTTTCAGCACTAAATAATATTCCGTTGTCTGGCACATCCAGACAATGCAATATGATGTCTGGCACATCCAGACAATGGAATATTATTTAGTGCTGAAAATAAATGATCTATGCAGTTACTGAATGATCCATTCAGTTACTAAAGGATATCTTAATCGCTTCCAAGTTCTGGTAATTATGAAAAAAGCTGCTGCAAACATTCACATGCAGGTTTGTATGTGAACACAGAGTTTTCAACTTGTTAAGGTACAGTAAGAGTATGTTTAGTTTTATAAGAAACCAGTAAATTGTCCTTTGAGGTGGCTGGCTGTACTTTTTTTTTCCCCCATTCCCAACAGCAATGAGTGAGGTTTTCTGTTACTCTGCAACCTTAGCAGCATTGGGTGTTCCAGGATTCTGGAGTTTGGCCATTCCAATAAGTGTGTAGTGAGTAACTCACTGTTGTTTTCATTTGTGTTTCACTGATTAAATATAATGTAGAGAATATTTTTATGTTCTTATTTGCTATCTATATGTCTATTAAAGACTTTGGTCTGTTTTTCTTTTTTCTTTTTTTTTCCTTTATTATTTTTATTTTATTTTATTTTTTAATACTTTGAGTTCTAGGCTACATGTGCCCAACTTGCAGGTTTGTTACATATGTATACATGTGCTATGTTGGTGTGCTGCACCCATTAACTCATCATTTACATTAGGTATTTCTCCTAATGCTATCCTTCCCCACTCCCACCACCCCATGTCAGGCCCCAGTGTGTGTTGTTCCCCACCCTGTACCCAAGTGTTCTCACTGTTCAATTACCATCTATGAGTGAGAACATGCGGTGTTTGGTTTTCTGTCCTTGTGACAGCTTGCTAAGAATGATGGTTTCCAGCTTCATCCATGTCCCTGCAAAGGACATGAACTCATCCCTTTTTATGGCTGAATAGTATTCCATGGTGTGTATGTGCCACATTTTCTTAATCTAGTCTATTATTGATGGACATTTGGGTTGGTTCCAAGTGTTTGCTATTGTGAATAGTGCCACAATAAACATACGTGTACATGTGTCTTTATAGCAGCATGATTTATAATCCTTTGGGTATATAACCAGTAATGGGATGGCTGGGTCAAATGGTATTTCTAGTTCTCGATCCTTGAGGAATTGCCACACTGTCTTCCACAATGGTTAAACTAGTTTACACTCCCACCAACAGTGTAAAAATGTTCCTATTTCTCCACATCCTCTCCAGCACCTGTTGTTTCCTGACTTTTTAATGATCGCCATTCTAACTGGTGTGAGATGGTATCTCATTGTGGTTTTGATTTGCATTTCTCTGATGGCCAGTGATGATGAGCATTTTTTCATGTGTCTGTTGGCTGCATAAATGTCTTCTTTTGAGAAGTGTCCGTTCATATCCTTCTCCCACTTTTTGATGGGGTTGTTTGATTATTTCTTGTAAATTTGTTTAAGTTCTTTGTAGATTCTGGATATTAGCCCTTTGTCAGGTGAGTAGATTGCAAAAATTTTCTCCCATTCTGTAGGTTGCCTGTTCACTCTGATGGTAGTTTCTTTTGCTGTGCAGAAGCTCTTTAGTTTAATTAGATCCCATTTGTCTATTTTGGCTTTTGTTGCCGTTGCTTTTGGTGTTTTAGTCATGAAGTCCTTGCCCATGCTTATGACATGAATGGTATTGCCTAGGTTTTCTTCTAGGTTTTTATGGTTTTAGGTCTAACATTTAAGTCTTTAATCCATCTTGAATTAATTTTTGTATAAGGTGTAAGGAAGGGATCCAGTTTCAGCTTTCTACATATGGCTAGCCAGTTTTCCCAGCACCATTTGTTAAATAAGGAATACTTTCCCCATTTCTTGTTTTTGTCAGGATTGTCAAAGATCAGACGGTTGTAGATGTGTGGTATTATTTCTGAGGGCTCTGTTCTGTTCCATTGGTCTATATCTCTGTTTTGGTACCAGTACCATGCTGTTTTGGTTACTGTAGCCTTGTAGTGTAGTTTGAAGTCAGGTAGCATGATGCCTCCAGCTTTGTTCTTTTGGCTTAGGGTTGTCTTGGCAATATGGGTTGTTTTTTGGTTCCGCATGAACTTTAGAGTAGTGTTTTCCAATTCTGTGAAGAACGTCACTGGTAGCTTGATGGGGATGGCATTTAATCTATAAATTATCTTGGGCGGTATGGCCATTTTCACGATATTGATTCTTCCTATCCATGAGTGTGGAATGTTCTTCTATTTGTTTGTATCCTCTTTTATTTCATTTATTTGTTTGTATCCTCTTTTATTTCATTGTAATTCTCCTTGAAGAAGTCCTTAACATCCCTTGTAAGTTGGATTCCTAGGTATTTTATTCCCTTTGAAGCAATTGTGAATGGAAGTTCACTCACAAATTGGCTCGCTCTTTGTCTATTATTGGTGTATAGGAATGCTTGTGATTTTTGCACATTGATTTTGTATCCTGAGACTTTGCTGAAGTTCTTATCAGCTTAAGGAGATTTTGGGCTGAGACAATGGGGTTTTCTAAATATACATCATGTCATTTGCAGAGACAATTTGACTTCCTCTTTTCCTAATTGAATACCCTTTATTTCTTTCTCCTGCCTGATTGCCCTGGCCAGAACTTCCAACACTATGTTGAATAGGAGTGGTGAGAGAGGGAATCCCTGTCTTGTGCCACTTTTCAAAGGGAATGCTTCCAGTTTTTGCCCATTTAAGTATGATATTGGCTGTGGGTTTGTCATAAATAGTTCTTATTATTTTGAGATATGTCTAATCAATACCTAGTTTATTGAGCGTTTTTAGCATGAAGCGCTGTTGAATTTTATCAAAGGCTTTTTCTTCATCTACTGAGACAATTTGTCTTTGGTTCTGTTTACATGATGGATTACATTTATTGATTTGCATATGTTGAATCAGCCTTGCATCCCAGAGATGAAGCCAACTTGATCGTGGTGGATATGCTTTTTGATGTCCTGCTGGATTCAGTTTGCTGTATTTTATTGAGGATTTTTGCATCAGTGTTCATCAGGGATATATGGTCTATAAAATTGTCTTTTTTGTGTCTCTGCCAGGCTTTGGTATCAGGAGGTTGCTGGCCTCATAAAATGAGTTAGGGAGGATTCCGTCTTTTTCTATTGATTGGAATAGTTTCAGAAGTAATGGTACCACCTCCTCTTTGTACCTCTGGTAGAATTCAGCTGTGAATCCATCTGGTCCTGGACTTTTTTTGGTTGGTAGGCTATTAATTATTGCCTCAATTTGAGAGCCTGTTATTGGTCTATTCAGGGATTCAACTTCTTCCTGGTTTAGTCTTGGGAGGGTGTATGTGTCCAGGAATTTATCCATTTCTTCTAGATTATCTAGTTTATTTGCATAGAGGTGTTTATAGTATTCTCTGATGGTAGTTTGTATTTCTGTGGGATTGGGGGTGATATCCCCTTTATCATTTTTTATTGCATCTATTTGATTCTTCTCTTTTCTTCTTTATTAATCTTACTAGAGGTCTATCAATTTCGTTGATCTTTTCAAAAAACCAGCTCCTTGATTCATTGATTTTTTTGAAGAGTTCTTTGTGTCTCTATCTCCTTCAGTTCTGCTCTGATCTTAGTTATTTCTTGCATTCTGCTAGCTTTTGAATGTGTTTGCCCTTGCTTCTCTAGTTCTTTTAATTGTGATGTTAGGGTGTCGATTTTAGATCGTTCCTAGTTTCTCTTGTGGGCATTTAGTGCTATAAATTTCCCTCTACACACTGCTTTAAATGTGTCCC
The DNA here is from genome assembly GCF_000001405.40 of Homo sapiens. NCBI lineage: Eukaryota > Metazoa > Chordata > Mammalia > Primates > Hominidae > Homo > Homo sapiens. The sequence goes on along the minus strand of NC_000002.12, from coordinate 117,004,100 downwards.
AGAGATTCTGGTATGTTGTGTCTTTGTTCTCATTGGTTTCAAAGAACATCTTCATTTCTGCCTTTGTTTCATTATTTACCTAGTAGTCATTCAGGAGCAGGTTGTTCAATTTCCATGTAGTTGTGCAGTTTTGAGTGAGTTTCTTAATCCTGAGTTCTAATTTGATTGCACTATGGTCTGAGAGACAGTTTGTTAAGATTTCTGTTCTTTTACATTTGCTGAGGAGTGCTTTATTTCCAACTATGTGGTCAATTTTGGAACAAGTGTGATGTGGTGCTGAGAAGAATGTGTATTCTGTTGATTTGGGGTGGAGAGTTCTGTAGAAGTCTATTAGGTCCACTTGGTGCAGAGCTGAGTTCAAGTCCTGGATATCCTTGTTAACTTTCTGTCTCGTTGATCTGTGTAATGTTGACAGTGGTGTGTTAATGTCTCCCATTATTATTGTGTGGGAGTCTAAGTCTCTTTGTAGGTCTCTAAGGACTTGCTTTGGAAGCTGGGTGCTCCTGTATTGGGTGTATATATATTTAGGATAGTTAGCTCTTCTTGTTGAATTGATCCCTTTACCATTATGTAATGGCCTTTTTGTCTCTTTTGATCTTTGTTGGTTTAAAGTCTGTTTTATCAGAGAGTAGGATTGCAACTCCTGCTTTTTTTTGTTTTCCATTTGCTTGGTAGATTTTCCTCCATCCCTTTATTTTGAGCCTGTGTGTGTCTCTGCATGTGAGATGGGTCCCCAGAACACAGCACACTGATGGGTCTTGACTCTTTACCCAATTTGCCAGTCTGTGTCTTTTAATTGGGGCATTTAGCCCATTTACATTTAAGGTTAATATTGTTATGTGTGAATTTGATCCTGTCATTATGATGTTAGCTGGTTATTTTGCTCATTTGTTGATGCAGTTTCTTCCTAGCAACAATGATCTTTACAATTTGGCATGTTTTTGCAGTCGCTGGTACCAGTTGTTCCTTTCCATGTTTAGTGCTTCCTTCAGGAGCTCTTGTAAGGCAGACCTGGTGGTGACAAACTCTCTCAGCATTTGCTTGTCTGTAAAGGAGTTTATTTATCCTTCACTTATGAAGCTTAGTTTGGCTGGATATGAAATTCTGGATTGAAAATTCTTTTCTTTAAGAATGTTGAATATTGGCCCCCAATCTCTTCTGGCTTATAGAGTTTCTGCTGAGAAATCTGCTGTTAGTCTGATGGGCTTCCCTTTGTGGGTAACCTGACTTTTCTCTCTGGCTGCCCTTAAGATTTTTTCCTTCATTTCAGCCTTGGTGAATCTGACAATTATGTGTCTTGGGATTGCTCTTCTTGAGGAGTATCTTTGTGGCATTCTCTGTATTTCCTGAATTTGAATGTTGGCCTGCCTTGCTAGGTCGGGGAAGTTCTCCTGGATAATATCCTGAAGAGTGTTTTCCAACTTCGTTCCATTCTCCCCGTCACTTTCAGGTACACCAATCAGGCATAGATTTGGTCTTTTCAGATAGTCCCATATTTCTTGGAGGATTTATTTGTTTCTTTTAACACTTTTTTCTCTAAACTCTTCTTGCTTCATTTAATTCGTTTGATATTCAGTCACTGGTACCCTTTCTTCCACTTGATTGAATTGGCTACTGAAGCTTGTGCATGCGTCACGTATTTCTCGTACCATGGTTTTCAGCTCCATCAGGTCATTTAAGGTCTTCTCTATGCTGTTTATTCTAGTTAGCCATTCAACTAATCTTTTTTCAAGGTTTTAACTTCTTTGCAATGGGTTAGAACATCATCCTTTAGCTGGGAGAAGTTTGTTATTACTGATCTTTTGAAGCCTACTTCCGTCAACTCATCAAAGTTATTCTCTGTCCAGCTTTGTTCCATTGCTGACGAGGAGCTGCATTCCTTTGGAGGAGAAGATGCACTCTGGTTTTTAGAATTTTCAGCTTTTCTGCTCTGGTTTCTCCCCATCTTTGTGGTTTTATCTAGCTCTGGTCTTTGATGATGTTGACCTACAAATGGGGTTTTGGTGTGGATGTCATTTTTTTTTATGTTGATGCTATTCCTTTCTGTTTGTTAGTTGTCCTTCTAACAGTCAGGACCCTCTGCTGCAGGTCTGTTGGAGTTTGCTGGAGGTCCACTCCAGACCCTGTTTGCCTGGGTATCATCACCAGCAGAGGCTGCAGAATAGCAAGTATTGCTGCCTGATCCTTCCTCTAGAAACTTCGTCTTAGAGAGGCATGCGGCTGTATGAGATGTCAGTCGGCCTCTACTTGTAGCTGTCTTCCAGTTACTCGGGGGTCAGAGACCCACCTGAGGAGGCAGTCTGTCCATTCTCAGATCTCAAACTCTGTGCTGAGAGACCCATTACTCACTTCAAAGCTGTCAGATAGGGATGTTTAAAAAGGTTTCTGCTGCCTTTTGTTCAGCTATGCCCTGCCCCCAGAGGTGGAGTCTACAGAGGCAGGCAGGCCTTGTTGAGCTGTGGCGGGCTCCACCCAGTTTGAGCTTCCCAGCCGCTTTGTTTACCTACTCAAGCCTCAGCAATGGCGTATGCCCCTCCCCCAGCCTCGCTGCCACCTTGCAGTTTGATCTCGGACTGCTGTGCTAGTAGTCAGGAAGGGTCCATGGGTGTGGGACCCTCTGAGCCAGGCGTGGGATATAATCTCCTGGTGTGCCATTTGCTAAGACCATTGGAAAAGTGCAGTATTAGGGTGGGAGTGTCCCAATTTTCCAGGTACCGTCTGTCATGGCTTCCCTTAGCTAGGAAAGGGAATTCCCCAACCCCTTGCTCTTCCCGGGTGAGGTGATGCCCACCCTGCTTCAGCTCACACTCCATGGGCTGCACCCACTGTCCAACAAGTCCCAGTGAAACGACCCCAGTACCTCTGTTGGAAATACAGAAATCACCTGTCTTCTGCATTGCTCATGCTGGGAGCTGTAGACTGGAGCTGTTCCTATTTGGCCATCTTGGAGGGATTCTCAGTTTTTACAATTTTTAATTTTTTATAGATTTAGGGGTTACAAGTGCAGTTTTATTAGATGAATATATTGCATAGTGGTGAAGCTTAAGCTTTTAGTGTGCCCATCATTCAAATAGTGAAAATTGTACCCAATAGGTAATTTTTCAACCATCTTCCCTCTCTAAGCCTCCCAAGTCTTCAGTGTTCATTTTTCCACTCTGTATGTCCATGTTTACCCATTGTTTAGTTCCTATTTTCAAGTGAAACCATGTGATATTTGACTTTCTGTTTCTGAGTAATTTCACTTAGGGTAATGGCCTCCAGTTCTGTCCATGTTGATGCAAAAAACAACTTCATTCTTCTGTATGACTGAATAGTTTTCCATGGTATACATTTTTAAATTCAATCATCCATTGGTGGACACATAGGTTGATTTCATTTTTAAATTGGGTTGTTGGTTTTTTTTATTGTTGAGTCATAAGAGTTCTTTGTATATTTTTGATAACAATCCTTTATCAGATATGCCTTTTGGAAACAATTTTTCTGTCTGTGGCTTTTCTTTTCTCTTTTCAATTTTTTTTTATTTTGTATATTTTTTTGTGTATGGCTTTCCTTTTCATTATCTTAACAGGGTCTTTTGCAGAACAGACCATTTTTATTTTGATAAAGTTGATTCATCCTTTCTTTCATGGATGTGCCTTTGGTGTGGTATCTGAAAAGTCATTACCAATCCCAAGGTCATCTAGATTTTCTCCTATGTTGTCTTCTAGGTATTTCATAGTTTTGCATTTTACATTTAAGTCTATAGTTCATTTTGAGTTAATTTTTGTGAAAGGTGGAAGGTCTGTGTCTAGGCTCAATTTTTTGCACATGGGTGTCCATTTGTTCTCATGCCATTTGTTGAGAGTAATTAATTGTGTACTATTATTTCAACTTGAAGAAAGTTGAGCAGACCTTGTAATACTGCTACTTACAACCACATATTCTACTTTGTGAACTTTAATATCTAGAAAAACATCTTAGAAGAACTGCCTAATTTTCTGGCAATAATACTCATTTGTAGAAAGCCTGGTAGATTCGCCTTAGGTTTTATGTAAGCCAGTTTTCAATGTGGGATTTCACTGGAAGCTGAAGAGGGCAGAAAAATATCTGACACATTTCTCTTATTATTTCACTCATTAAATTAGAATAGGTCCTTGATAAGTTACATTTTTATGCACATTTGAATGCTTTTTAGTGTAGGTCTGTCTGATATTTATTAGGTGTATATTCTACAGAATTTCATAAATACTATTAAATACTGAGTTCTATTTTTGATGGATGGAGAATGCATTTTATTTACCATATTTTATAATGCTAAAATGAAAATTCTCAAAATACGTTTTAACAGTCTCTGTAATTTAGGTTGATCTTATAATAAAAGAATGCCCATTTTAGCTGTAGGTTTTCTTTCTTAATAGTACACATGAAATAATGGTTACTCTGAAAATCTATCATGTCTTAGATTAGATGAAATAAGATAATAACTAATTGTCAAGGTGTTAACAAGAAAAATGGTTACCTGTTTCACCGTCAATTCCTTCTTTATAAAACTCATAAGACTAAATTACATGATGCTAGGGTGGCCAACAGATATGTATCTACAATGTAACATAGTAATACTGGTTATGTGAATTAGTGAATATTGGAAAACACAAATTGCCAGACTGTAATTAGGAAAGATCCTTATTGAATCATTTGCATTACTGTTTTGGAAAGCAGTTAAACTTTTCTGTTTAGCAATTACTATATGAAATAAGTTCTTAGGTCAATCTAGGGTTTTAGAGTATATTAATGAGGGATAATGCCAACACACTTATAAAGGTCATTAAGACAATTGCAAAGCTGTAAGAAAAGGGTTTGGTTTTCCACAGGCAGATAGGAAAATGGAGCACAAGAAGTTATGGGCATAGTGGAAACCTTCAAGTGCACAAACAATATCTCTATCTTAGAGTCAAGAAAATCTTCATGAAGAGAAGGTTTTATCAATGTACACCCAGTAGAGGCTCAACAATAAGTAGGTTTAAGTTCAGCAAAACTTTTCAATATGTCAGAAGGAAATTAAAATTCAGCAGTCTGTATTTCAGATAAGCCACCATCCTCCATTTTAATTACACACCCTTCTCTGTCATCTGCTCTTTATCTCTTCCTAATGCCAAGATATAAATGAATCCCTTGTATCAGATTTAAAATAAGATTTCTTATAATATTTCTGGAATTGTACTAAATAAAGTTACTTCTTTTTCAATATTTGTCCCATGAGTTGTTTAAATAATGAATCTGACTTTTAAACTCATTAAATATTTTGCAAATGCAAGCATCAGATTGTGTAAATATATAACTGTTTGTATTTGGGATCTGACTATTTTCAAAATATGTTTCTATTTTTCTACAGTTAGCAGATTTCAGTTAAATGCCGATAAACTTTGAAGGGCATTGAAATAAGGACAGTAATGCATTTGGAAAGAACTGAAAATTCCAAGTTAACTCTCACCTACTAGAAATCATGCACATAAACATAAGCCCATTGGAAAACTGTGAGACCATAGATAGAATATTTATTTGTGCACATTTTTGCTTATTTTTAACTAAAATATATATTTAAAATAATTTAAGTGGGCCTCAATGCTTACCAGCTTGTCCATGAAAATTCTGGTCATTGGATAAGGAGTAGTAGACTATATAATTAGATATGAGAGTTTACTGATATGAGGCTGCTCCCTTAGTATTCAATATTTAATATTTTGGCAACGGCATTTTGAAATGGATCTTATTTGCTGCTGAAATGGCTTCTTTATTAAAGCTAGAATGTTGCACAACATTGCTATACACCAGTGTGTTCAGTTTATATAAAAGATTGAGAGCAATGAACAAATGGCATGGGGTCCATTGGTTTGGTTCCACCAAATACCGAATCACCCAATGGTTGTCAGATTAATTAAACATCAAATAGCCTCTTAACGGTTTATCTAAGACTTCTGAAATGAGAATGACCCTGCAAGGATGGTAATATTCTTTCAAAATGATAACTATATTTTGAATCAATGACCGTTAATTGGTACTGTGTACCTAAAAAGTGGTAGGCATAGGCCTGTGAACTACGGAGAATAAATAGTGCCTGTTACCTTCTAATTCGTAATGATTCATGTGGGACTGTGCTTTCCCGATACAACTTTAGATTTTATTGTAATGGAGACATGCTACTGCTCAATTATCAGGGAGGGGGCACTTCTGTTGGAGCATAGTAATATTTCTGTCATATCTAAAGTTGTGAAGGCTGACCAAGATTCTTTTGTCAGTAGATCAGCATGACAAGAAGAGAGTGACTATATTGGCAGGGGAAATTGATTCTGGTTATCATGCTGCTACATAATGTGGGCAAAGAGGTGTATGTCTGCAATGCAGAGGAATCCCAGCAGAGTAGACCCATGCTTCTTGGTGCTTCCATCCTAACGGGTACCTGTAAATGGAAATTTTCAGCAACTGTGGTCTACTAACAGTGCCATAAGCAGGTCCTCTCAGGTATTTACATATCTGTACTACTTTCAGGGCAAGTAGACTAACGATAAGGAAAACCTAGAATGGTTGGTAGAGAAAGGAGATTATGATTATCAATTTTTATGCCAGAATAAGTGCTAGTTAGAACTATTTTAATTGTCTCAGACAAAAGAAATCAAGCAAGAAACATCAATAAAGCCCCAGAAGAGCGCTTGGTAGGGGAAAGTTGTATGTTTTCCTTATGAAAATCAACCACTATGCAAAATTTATGCCATAGTTTTGCCAAGAGAAAGGTAGTATGCAAAGAGAAAAGTTGAGGGAAAAAGTAGTATGCAAAGAGAAAAGTTGAGGAATAATTAAGTGTATTGTGCTGGGTACAATGTTCTACACAAATTTTAAAAATTCCTATGCTATGTACTTCAGAACTATATTCATATTGAAAATAACCATTCACTGTCCTCAAACAATATCATGTGCCACATTAAATAAATATTGTTGAGACTGTATTTTGTTTTTACAGTTTTGTGGTTTTCAACATTTTAAATTATCTTGGTTGTAAAAGATCAATAAGCCTGAAACTTTAAGTATAATTAGGTAATATTGCAGTAAAGAAAGTTCAATAAACACTAGAGGTTATACATTATTGACGTCTGAGAAATACCGATCTAAAATGCAGAGCTGTGGTTTTTCTCTCTTATGGCTTCTCATAGCAGACATATGGATAATATTTTAGGTAGCAGAGCAGTTGAAATGGATGTTACTTCTTGTGAATATATATTTTGTTTTAATTATCCTTTTTTCCTGCTCTTTAATTTTTGCACTCTAACTCTGTTTCCTAAAAGCCACACAACATATTCAAAGGAGACTATGAAAGGATAAGCCTCTCTTTTTTTTAACACACTCATTGGATTTGAAATATTTTCAGAAAGTTGATTTGGAAATTAGGATGATGGAAAGGATGTCAGTAAGAAAGCCCTCAGCAAAACACAGTTCTGGCAGCCATCAGTTGTATGATTTTGGAGCAGAAACTTCACTTCTTTGAGCCTCAGTTTCTTGAATATAAAATGGTTGCAGTAGAATTTAGCTCAATGTTTTGTTAAAAAGATTAACAATTCAATTTCATGCGATGTGACTGACTCAGTGGCCACACAATAAAGGGTTGCCTTTCTTCCCAATATGAAGAGTCCGTTATACCTAAGAATATTAGTGCTAAAAAAAAAAGAAAACTAGTGCTGCTACATTACACTTGTATCTTCCATTTGCACAAACTGCTATTATCATATTTGGGAAGAATATTATGTTGAACATTTTATCTCCAAATGATATTTGCTGTTATATAAAGAAACATTCCAAATATGAAAGACTGAAGATTCCCCACCACTACAAACCACTAAACAACCAAAAAGCCTCAGATTCTGAAGGAAAGAGCAAGTGAAGGAAGTGATGTTGACATTTTGGACAAGAATGAAAAGGCATAGATGGGAAGGACTAAAAATCAAATCACAGGAGTTTCCTTCCTTTTGAACTTATGCTACTATGTGTCAGTACATTTCTAAGAATTGGGAAAAGAGCAATGAACAAAACAGAGGAAATGACAGTTTTCAGAGCACTGGTATATTACTTGGGGGAATGGTGAGGAGGAAGACAGCACATAAATATGTATCTGCTATATAACGTCAGAGACTGATAAGTGCTAAGGTGAAATATAAAGCAGATAAAGATGATGACTTATGTCTACTGGAAATTGGAATACAAGGCATGGAACGTACTACCAGGGCATGGCAAGAATCAAAGATTCATTGGCATCAATCCTTCACAAAGGGAGCAATATTTATTGAGTGCCTATTATGTACCTGGCATTGTTCTAGATATGGAGATACAGTTCACTATGTGGCTTATATTCCTCTAAGGCAGATGCTTAGTAAATAAAATACTGAAGCAAATTATATAATATGCTATGCAGTAGTAAGTTCTGGGAAGTAACATAAAACAGGTGTGGGATTGTCAGGTATGGGAATTGCAATGCAGTTTAAGCGTAAATAAACTGCATGGTGTGTATGTTGTAAAGATTCACTCTTGTTTGTTAGAAAATTGGTAGAATATCAGGTCTAGTCACCAGCGTGAACTTCTGAAAGTAAAACTGATGTTCTGGAGATATAAGACACATCCTTGGACAGGAAAATGTCTGTTTGTGGCATCTTGACTAGTCATGTTCAAGCATTAGGATAGTAACTCATCACAGGTGCTGGGAATTACCTCTCTGAAGTCCTGTGGACCTTCTGAGATCATATCTCATGATCCTTAGTGACAGTATTAAGGGAGTTGTCTGAGAAGATTGACTCCATTGACAAAACAACATCCTTGCAAAACTCGCAACTACAAAACCGCAGTGGGTGGCATGTAATCCACGATAACATACCTCTTATTCAAATAATGTTGGATAAACTTATCCAAGCAGAGTCAAACAAATGCACTACTTTCCTGATATCTCTCCTACTATTAGAACAGTCAAGTATTGTTATCGCACTGAACACTAGTAAAAGGATGCAAGGAAGAGAGAAGTTTAAGCACTTGGACCTATATCTCCCTCTTCTTCCCCTTCCCATTGAAGGAGGTCCCTAAAGGAGACCATGAAAACAACAGAACCATTAAAAAGGCATATTATAATAAAATATACATGTTTGGCCTTCATCCGAGTTTCTGGCACACAACAACTTGGAATCTCTGAAATGATGTGTTCTTTTGTATGCTAATGAGTTGACTGATTGCTGAGGGCTCCTGGATAGCTTCAGGAGAAGGGGTGGTTGCCAGGGGAACCAACCTGGTGATCTGAGGGTTGAAAATTTTAGTCTTTCCACCAGCCCCCAACATCTGGGGAGAGGAGAGAGAGTAAAGGTTGAGTTGATGTTAATGGCTGATGATGTAATAAAGCCTCTATAAAAACCCAAAAAGACTTCATTCAGGGAGCTTCATGCATAGATGAACATATGGAGGTTCCTGGACAGTGACATGCTGAAAGAGGGCATGGAAATACCGTGACTTGTGCATCTCTTCCATCTGCTCATCTGTAGCCTTTGTAGTATCCTTCATAATAAACTGGTGTTTCCCTGCGTTCTGTGAGCTGCTCAAGCAAATTAATTGAGCTTGAGGAGGCGGGTCATGCGAACCTCTGATTGTTAGCCAGTTGATCAGAAATGTAGGTGACAATTTAGTACCTGCAACTGGCATCTAAAGTGGGAGCTGTCTTCTGGGACTGAGCCATCAACACATGATATCTAACTGTCTCCAGGTAGATAGCGTGAGAATTGAAATGAATTATTACCAGAGTATCTCACTGATTTTTGCCACAGAGTTGGTTGTTGTTGCGGAGAAACCCCCACATATTTTGGTGGCCAGAGGTGAAGTGTTCTGGGCTGACTATGTTGTGAGAATAGAGAAGGAAAATGAAAACTTTTTTCATATCATTACAGAGGGTCTCCCCAGATAATTCCTCCTCTCAAAATACTTTATGTTATGGTTTTTAGATTGGTGTATTGAATATAAGAAATTGATTCATGCAACTCTGAAAAATACTATGTTGTGAAAGACTGTACAAAGTGACAACTATATATACTTACAGAGGGAATGTTAAGAAAAACCTATTAGTCAGGGTTCTCCAAAAAGACAGAACCAATAGGAGATATAGACATAGATATAGATAAGTGAGAGTGGATTTATTAGGGGAATTGGCACATGTGATTATGGAAGCTGAGAATTCTCTCAATATGCCATCTGCATGCTGGAGAACCAGGGAATCAGTCAAAACCTGAAGGCCTCAGAATCAGGGGAGCTGGTGGTCTGAGGCTGAAGGCCAGAGAACGTGGAGTTCTGATGTCTAAAAGTAGGAGAAGAGTACCTTAGTTTCAAAAGAGAAGAGAGGAAATTCACATTTCTATTGCTGTTTTCTTCTAACTGGTCCCTCAACTGATTGGATGGTACCTGCCCACACTGAGAGTGAATCTTCCTTATTCACTTTACTGATTCAAATACCAGTTTCTTCCAGAAACACTCTCCCAGATATACCCAGAAATAATGCCTTAACAGCTATCCATGTATCTCTTAATCCAGTCAAGTTGCTGCATAAAATTAACCATCACGGGGAGGTTTGGACCATCTGGAAGACAGAGATAAATGGGACACTAAACTTGTACACCATGCTTCTGAGATTAGGTTAGTATACAATTTAGTCTAATGGAGTGCTCCCAGGGTAACACTATCCAACTGTCTCTTGAGTCATGAGTCATCTGATAACCCCAATTTTGAGAAGGAAACACTGGTTACTAACTGTAGACACCCCCTTCTCCCTCCACAATTCTTAGATTTGTAAGACAGCTCTTCTTATTGGCATTTCTAAATATCATCCAATCTCAAAATGAAAGATCTCTAATCCTCGGTCACAAAGTTCACCAGCATGCATCTAGTGGCTATGCCTTGCAGAAACTGAGGACCACTTGGTGCTGAAATGGCTGATTCAAAAACAAATTGTTGTAACCAGGTTCTTGCCATTCACTGGTAAGGTGGCTAAATGCCGAAGTACAGCCATCTTCTGCAGGGATTCATCTATTCTCAGATGTCTATTTTGCAACATAAAAGCCAGGCTGTGGGAAGGTGTCTGGAGCAGTACAATGTGGATATCCTTTCACACAGCTCTCCTACTGCTTATCCAGTCATTCACAGGCTTTTAGAAATCAAGAGAGCATCTTGTGCCAGGATGTGAATAGATACTCCTTGTCATTACTGCCATCTTCTGATTGGTGATTTGTGGCCCACTGCACCAGGAATACATCCATTACCTTTACCCTTCTCCCTTCTATATTGTGCTCCTTGCCCAGCTATCCTGCCAGGTGGGCACTGGGCTGTCCATCTCCCCTTCACAGTGAGTGCATTCCTACCTTCCCAGGACAGAAAGCAAGAGAGGGTATGGCAGCAGTGGGCAGAAGTTCCTTGCCTAATTTGGATGGAAATACCAAAACCTTAGGATGTGGTGGTGGGGACGCATACTAATTATATCTACTTCAATCATTTAAAGAAGATTGTCTCTTGAACTGTCTCCAATTTTCTTGGTGTGTCTTTCATTGAATGAATCCATAGTTCAAGATCTGAACTTCTAAGCAATACTTCAAGAGAGGCTATGTTTGCTGAAAGGCTCACAGTAGCCTGAAAATTAGCTTTAGTGAACTTGTACTTCTAGTCACCACGGAATTCCTCCACAGAACTGATGGAAGCACCTCCCCGATGGTACAGTAAATGCTCCTCTGTCATTCTAGGTTATTGGCTGTTTATTCTTCTCTGTCACCTGCATAAAGTATGGCAAAAAGTTCCCTAGGGGGGAGTTTGCTCATCCTCCTTAGCCTCCTAAATTATGCCATCAGCCTGATCATTATGCAAATATTAGTTTTACCCTCTCTTCCTTGAGAAATTAGAGTAAGCTCCCAATGCATTTCTGATAATTCATTTTGTCTTCCCTTTGACCTAAAACTCTAGATAAATTTGAACATCACCTTACAAGATATATAGCCCTTTCCATACATTTTTCAGTGCTCACAATAAATTTATTGTGGTCATTTTACAGACAAGGAAAATCAAGCTTACAGAAATTAAGTGGAATCCCTTAATTAAATCAAGATATAAGTGGTATGACTGAGATACCAACGGGTTTGTCACTAAACCCCGGGCTCATTCCATCACAACAAATTGCTTCCTTAATTGGAAACCCAATTGCCAAGTTAGAAACTATTACTAGACATGTCATTCTTCAGTTCACAAGTATTCAACGGCTCTTCACTGCCTAGATATTAAGCGACTAACATTGAGTCCTTCAATCATTTTCTGCAGGTTTCTCTCCTCTCTCTCCTCCAAATCTACTTAAACTCAAGCTCTAAATGTTGAAAACTAGCCCTCCAGGGGCCATCTCCAGCCCACAGACATATCAGTTTGGCTCACACACGATCTTTTAAATGAGGAAATTAATCATAACCATGCCAACAGTTGGCTAGAACCATGTAACAGCTGCTTCGTTAGCCAGAACCTGAGGCTTTCAACTTGGCCGTGTCCTTGCCACACCCTGCTGTCATACACCAGAATGCTTCACATGTGAACATTACCTGTTGGACACATGTATATATGTGACATTGAGGCCTGCTGTCTTACATACTCCGTGCCTAATAAAAATCAGTATTTAAAAGAAACCTGCATTAAAATTTGAAAGTAAAGTTGTCTCAAAATGTTAAAAAATGTCTTGGACTACTTAAAAGTGCGGTTCCCTGAGTTCCACCCAGACCTGCTACATAAAATCTCTTATGTGAGGCTTAGACATTTTAATTTTCAGGGCCAGTTGCGGTGGTTCATGCCTGTCATATCAGCACTTTAGGAGGTTGAGGCAGGAGTGTCTCTTGAGCCCAGGATTTTGAGACCAGCGTGGAAAACATAAGGCCAAATCTCTAAACAATAAATAAATAAAAAATAAATTTTAATTTTCAGCAAGATACCTAGTAAGACAGCTCTTCTTATTGGCATTTCTGATCCACACATTAACATTCGAGGATCAGACATTGGCCAAACTCAGCTGCACTATACGCTTCCTGTTTTCTCAGCACAAGCCTCATGCCCTGCATTCACAGCTCAGCTATTACTCTTCTCTTTAGCTGGAGTGTCTCCATACACCACTTCCCAATCCAATGTTTTTATGGAATCTTAGATAAGGGAAATTTAAGATTGAGGATAACTTCTCTCTTTTAAGCCTCCAAACTATTGGGTAAGATTTTTTTAGAAAACCGTAAGTGAAAATTACAGAAGTCCAAGATAAGATGTCAATTTAAATGGGTTGCCAACAAACCCCCTTAATTTTCTATTCAAAATAGTTTATTATATATTACTTGATTGTTCAATCTTTTCATTCTAAAGACATCTTTCCTCATGTTTAAGCAGAAAGAAAATTCTAATCACTTTCTTTATGAAAGTTTTGCTGCATTCACTAGGTAACCCCCTGTTTTGTTGCTTTATTTCTCACTCTGCTGTGTCCTTTTATAAATTTCTCCTTTCTGCTCCCATTACCCACTTTCCACTCAATTGTAAACTCCTTAATAGAAGGGCAGATGACTTATTCACAGCACCAAGTACACAGTCCTATAAACAATACTGCTCAATCAATATTTGCATTCAGGTTAAAATTGAACTCTCAAGAAAATAAAAACAAAATATGCAGTAAGGGAAACAAATTATCTTTTAATTTTCCAAATTTATTTTCATACTATTTTCCATTTGTGACCTTTCTAATATCCAAAACCTACACTCACACTTACAAAAACAACAGTCTGTTTTTGAAACTCACCATTATATTATTGGGTCATCAGTCAGGGCTTGGTCAGTTTCTTACGCTAGTTTCCCCACCTTTCTGGTTTTCATCCTTCAGAACGGTATCCTGAATTTTGTATGACCAATTACTTTCTCTCATCCCCTCAAAACTGTACCTCCAAACATTTTAATGATCAGGAATAACATTTGCAGCTTACAAGCACTAAAAACCTAAAACTGCTCATCAGAAAAGTGACTCATTTTGCTTGCAGTCTTATTAGTTCCCTGTGTAGAAGCAAGCTGCTATCTTAGGCTGTTGATATTTGTAGGGCACGTGTCTAGGAGTTAGTGTGATTTCATGGAGCACTTAAAATCTGAGCTACATGTCAGCAAAAAAGGGGGCTTTAGGGTACTTTCAAGAACTCAAGACACTTTTTTTTTTTTTTGCTGTTTTAACATTTTTTATTTATTTATTTATTCATTTATTTTTTATTATACTTTAAGTTTTAGGGTACATGTGCACGTTGTGCAGGTTAGTTACATATGTATACATGTGCCATGCTGGTGCGCTGCACCCACTAACTCGTCATCTAGCATTAGGTATATCTCCCAATGCTATCCCTCCCCCCTCCCCCCACCCCACAACAGTCCCCAGAGTGTGATGTTCCCCTTCCTGTGTCCATGTGATCTCATTGTTCAATTCCCACCTATGAGTGAGAATATGCGGTGTTTGGTTTTTTGTTCTTGTGATAGTTTACTGAGAAAGATGATTTCCAATTTCATCCATGTCCCTACAAAGGACATGAACTCATCATTTTTTATGGCTGCATAGTATTCCATGGTGTATATGTGCCACATTTTCTTAATCCAGTCTATCATTGTTGGACATTTGGGTTGGTTCCAAGTCTTTGCTATTGTGAATAATGCCGCAATAAACATACATGTGCATGTGTCTTTATAGCAGCATGATTTATAGTCCTTTGGGTACATACCCAGTAATGGGATGGCTGGACACTTTCAGATTAAAGTGGTTTAGATGTGCTCTGTATATGGGTTAGCGGGGGTGGTTAATTTGAGTACAAGCGTGTGTGCACATTTTGTGTAGATCTGAGGTTTTGAAAATGTGCTTTTATAAAATACTAATTTTCATGTTATCCTAAAATGCTGTTTATGTAAAAGTTAGATTCATTACCTTCCATATGGGGAGAGACTCTAGTCTTATGATTGCCATGGCAACAAAAGACTTTATGTGTTATTAAGTTAGAAACATACCTGGTCTGTTAGAGTGAACCTCACAATCTACCCCCGCAGAGGTGAAACAACTCAGCCTCCGGTAAAGGAGTACACTGTTTATGAAGCTGCACCTCCACAGTTCTATATGCTTAATAGCATGAATGCAAGACTCTGCATTGCTTGGTGACTTTGCAGGAAGTAAGGCTTAACATACAGCTGGCTTGTTAAGAAAATGTACTTCATAATACTTTACAATTGGGAAGATACTTATTTTATTCTTTTTTAAAGAAAAATTGCCTTACTTCTTTGGCCAATCTTATTACTATTTACCGATGACACAGCTATAATTTAAAGATCCTCAGGGTGCTTTGTTACTTTTCTAAATTACATGTTTTTTTCTTTCTCCTTTTCCTTTTTTCTCCACCTAAAAAGGGAAATGATTCAGTCCCTTTCTTGGACATCCTGATCTTCATCTTCTTCAACATATCATCCCAGCATTTCATATGCATGATGTATTATCCTCACCCACTAAGAGCATCCAGTACCTTTGGTGATCTATGACTCATTGACAAATGCCAGTTGGCAAGAATTCCTTTTGTGGTTCTCACTAAGAGTTACCTCATTATTTAAAATGATGAATTGCTTTTGAAATAACTACTAGTTAAAGAAATGAAGAGTATGTTATTACTGAGGCTAGGCAGGTCCCCTAACAGATTAGAAAACAACCATTTAATGAATGGGCATAATAAATGTGATCATACCATTTTCCAAAGAAAGTAAATCCTTCTTGGCCAGCTAGAATGAATGTTTAAAGGGATCCACTGAAGTAGTACAAGTTTACTTTCCTTGCTGATACAGATTAGACCTGAAGAAAATACAGAGTCTTCCAAAGGGCAGGGGTAGAGGGAGAAGTAGGGATGTTAATACACCTTAGCTTGAAAGAAAGTTGAATCTTTGATGATAAAGAGGTTTTTTTTAAGTGTTTAAATTTGAGTATTTTTTCATCTCCTTTCTATTTATAATAGATAACATAGTATCAAAAATTTACTGATGGTTTTGACTTTGAGATATAACTTTGATCTGAAAGTCAATTTGGAGTGAGAATATGAGGAATTTTGATAGTTATAATCAAGATTTTGTGATGCAGAATTTTTCTTGACCCTTTTTTTGGAGTTGTGATGGGGGTGCCTTGTTTACTCGGTCCGTGGTGCTCAACCCCTTGCAGGAGGAAGCATGTGAGTGAGCAAATGTGAGATCCAGCCAGCCATTTTGGGTACCAGCAAGAGCAAGCTCTATGCAGGTGCCACGGTGGCACCCCGGTAGGGGTGCCTGCAACCCCCAAAGCCCCAGAGAGCAAGTTACAATGCTCTCTTAGTATTGTTGTTGTGGACAGTGGTGTGTTGTCAGCTCAGTGGTCCCCTTGCCTCATCAAGTGGGACAGCTGCCCTCTGCCATTGAGGGCAAAGGGCCAGTGTGACTGCGTTTTTTTGGGTACCTGCACTTGTTGGGTCCAGAGCTGTTGTCTGGCATTCAAGAAGAATGAGGCACAGACACTTGAAGAATGGGGGAGCTGAAGAATTTCATTTAGCAATAGAAATGGCTCTCAGTGGAGACGGGAGTTGTAGAGGGGAAGGGACTGGTAGGTAATCTTACCTCAAAGTCCAGCCATCTCTGACCAGCTCTTTCCTGAAGTCAAGCAGTCTCTCAGAAGTTAAGCTGTCTCTCTTTCAAAGTCCAGCCAACCCTCTGAAGTCAAGTTGTCTCCCTCCAGTCAAGCTACTTCTCTCTCCTCTCTAGACTGAGTCTGGGGTCTTTATAGGCACAGGATGGGGGGCAATGAGGGCCGTAGGTAGTTTCGGAAAAGGCAACATACGATTATAAAAATACCTTATTCAGAAAGAACCAATTGGAAGAGTGCAGGCAAATGGATAGAAGTTCTCATTTTGGGCCATGGGTTTCAGGCTTTTCAGCTCTAAGGTGGGGTTTCCCCAGGGACCCGCCCTTGTCTGCCCAGAATTTCTCTCCCTCTTGCCTCTAAAGCTTGTATGGAACCAGGAAAAAAGAGTGAGTATGACATTATTAGGTGCATATTTCTTTTTATAACCCTGTCCAAATAATACTTAATTTCTAAGTTTTGACTTTTTTTTCTTTATTATTATTTCAATAGTTTTGGGGGAACAGGTGGTGTTTGGTTACATGAATAAGTTCTTTAGTGGTGGTTTCTGAGATTTTGGTGCACCCATCATCCAAGCAGTGTACACTGTACTCAATCTGTAGTCTTTTATCTCTCACTCCACTTCCACCCTTTTCCCCAAGTCCTCAGAGTCCATTATATCATTCTTATGCCTTTGTGTCCTCATAGCTTAGCTCCCACATGTGAGTGAGAACATACAATGTTTGATTTTCCATTCCTGGGTGACTTCATTTAGAATAATGGTATCCAACTCCGTGTAGGTTGCTACAAATGCCATTATTTCATTCGTTTTTATGTCTGAGTAGTATTCCATGGTGTATATACATATATATGTAATATATATAACATATACCTATATATATACACACACACATATATATATATAAACATTTTATTTATCCATTCATTGGTTGACGGACATTTAGACTGGTTGCATATTTTTGCAATTGCAAATTTTGCTGCTATAAACATGCATGTGCAAGTGTCTTTTTCATATAAGCACTTCTTTTCTTCTGGGCAGATATCAGGCAGTAAGGTTGCTGAATCAAATGGTAGTTCTACTTTTAGTTGTTTAAGGAATCTCCAAACTGTTTGCATAGTGGTTGTACTAGTTTACATTCCCACCAGCATTCCCTTTCACCACATCTGCAACAACGTCTGTTTTTTTTGTTGTTGTTGTTTCTTTGTTTTGTTTTTTAAATTATGGCCATTCTTGCAGAAGTAAGGTGATATTGCATTCTGGTTTTGATTTGTATTTCTCTGATAATTAGTGATGTTGAGCATTTTTTCATGTCTGCATTGGCCATTGGCATATTGTCTTTTGAGAATTGTCTATTCATGTCCTTAGCTCACTTTTTGATGGGATTGTTTGTTTCCTTTTGTTTACATTCCTTGTAGATTCTGGATACTAGTCCTTTGTCAAACGCATAGTTTGCAAAAATTTTCTCCCACTTTATGGGTGATGTGTTTACTCTGCTAATTCTTTCTTTTGCTGAAAAGAAGTTTTAGTTTAATTTAGTCCCATCTATTTCATTTTTTGTCTTTTATTTGTTTGTTTTCCATTTGCTTTTGGGTTCTTGGTCATGAAATTCTTTTCTAAGCCAATGTCTAGAAGAGTTTTTTCCAGTGTTACCTTCTAGAATTTTTATGGTTTCAGGTCTTAGATTTAAGTTTTTGATCTATTTGAATTGATTTTTGCATAAGGTAAGAGATTAGGATCCAGTTTCATTCTTCTACATGTGGCTTGTCAATTATCCCAGCACCATTTGTTGAATAGGGTGTCCTATCCCCAATTTACGTTTTTGTTTGCTTTGTTGAAGATCAGTTAGTTGTAAGTATTTGACTTTTTTAAAATCCGTTTATTAGAATTTAAGTTCTAGGGAACATGTGTAGCTCTAGTTCTACACAACATGCAGGTTTGTTACATATGTATACATGTGCCATGTTGGTTTGCTGTACCCATTGACTCGTCATTTACATTAGGTATTTCTCCTAATGCTATCCCTCCACGATCCCCCCACCCAATGACAGGCCCCAGTGTGTGATGTTCCCCTTCCTGTGTCCAAGTGTTCTCATTGTTCAATTCCCACCTATGAGTGAGAACATGCGGTGTTTGGTTTTCTGTCCTTGTGATAGCTTGCTCAGAATGATGGTTTCCAGCTTCATCCATGTTCCTACAAAGGACATGAACTCATCCTTTTTTATGGCTGCATAGTATTCCATGGTGTATATGTGCCACATTTTCTTAATCCAGTCTATCATTGGTGGACATTTGGGTTGGTCCAAGTCTTTGCCATTGTGAATAGTGCCACAATAAACATATTTCCGCATGTGTCTTTATAGTTGCATGATTTATAATCCTTTGGGTATATACCCAGTAATGGGATGGCTGGGTCAAATGGTACTTCTAGTTCTGGATCCTTGAGGAATTGCCACACTGTCTTCCACAATGGTTGAGCTAGGTTACACTCCCACCAACAGTGTAAAAGCATTCATATTTCTCCATCTCCTCTCCAGCATCTGTTGTTTCCTGACTTTTTAATGATCGCCCTTCTAACTGGTGTGAGATGGTATCTCATTGTGGTTTTGATTTGCATTTCTCTGATGGCCAGTGATGATGAGCATTTTTTCATGTGTCTGTTGGCTGCATAAATGTCTTCTTTTGAGAAGTGTCTGTTCATAGCCTTTGCTCACTTGTTGATGGGGTTGTTTGTTTTTTTCTTGTAAATTTGTTTCTTTGTAGATTCTGGATATTAGCCCTTTGTCAGTTGGGTAGATTGCAAAAATTTTCTCCCATTCCATAGGTTGCCTTTTCACTCTGATGGTAGTTTATTTTGCTGTGCAGAAGGTCTTTAGTTTAATTAGATCTCATTTATCTATTTCGTCTTTGTTGCCATTGCTTTGGTGTTTTAGTCATGAAGTCCTTGCCCATGCCTATGTCCTGAATGGTATTGCCCAGGTTTTCTTCTAGGTTTTTATGGTTTTAGGTCTAACATTTAAGTCTTTAATCCATCTTGAATTAATTTTTATATAAGGTGTAAGGAAGGGATCCAATTTCAGCTTTCTACATATGGCTAGCTGGTTTTCCCAGCACCATTTATTAAATAGGGAATCCTTTCCCTATTTCTTGTTTTTCAGGTTTGTCAAAGATCCGATGGTTGTAGATGTGTGGTATTACTTCTGAGGGCTCTGTTCTGTTTCATTGGTCTATATCTCTGTTTGGATATCAGTACCATGCTGTTTTGGTTACTGTAGCCTTGTAGCATAGTTTGAAGTCAGGTAGTGTGATGCCTCCAGCTTTGTTCTTTTGGTTTAGGATTGTCTTGTCAATGCAGGCTCTTTTCCGGTTCCATATGAACTTTAGTTTTTTCCAATTCTGTCATTGGTAGCTTGATGTGGATGGCATTGAATATATAGGTTACCTTGGGCAGTATGGCCATTTTCACGATATTGATTCTTCCTAACCATGAGCATGGAATGCTCTTCCATTTGTTTGTGTCCTCCTTTATTTCGCTGAGCAGTGGTTTGTAGATCTCCTTGAAGAGGTCCTTCACATCCTTTGTAAGTTGGATTCCTAGGTATTTTATTCTCTTTGAAGCAACTGTGAATGGGAGTTCACTCATGATTTGGCTCTCTGTTTGTCTGTTATTGGTGTATAGGAATGCATTTAAGGTTAATATTGTTGTATGTGAATTTGATCCTGTCATTATGATGTTAGCTGGTTATTTTGCCCATTAGTTGATGCAGTTTCTTCCTAGCATCGATGGTCTTTATAATTTGGCATGTTTTTGCAGTGGCATGTACTGTTTGTTCCTTTCCACTTTTAGTGCTTCCTTCAGGAGCTCTTGTAAGGCAGGTCTTGTGGTGTCAAAATCTCTCAGCATTTGCTTGTGTGTAAGGGATTTTATTTCTCCTTGACTTATGAAGCTTAGTTTGGCTGGATATGAAATTCTGGGTTGAAAATTCTTCTCTTTAAGGATGTTGAATATTGGCCCCCACTTACTTCTGGCTTGTAGAGTTTCTGCCAACAGATCTGCTACTAGTCTAATGGGCTTCCCTTTGTGGGTAACTAGACCTTTCTCTCTGGCTGCCCTTAACACTTTTTCCTACATTTCAGCCTTGGTGAACCTGACAATTACGTGTCTTGGGGTTGCTCTTCTCAAGAAGTATCTTTGTGGTGTTCTCGGTATTTCCTGAATTTGAATGTTGGCCTGCCTTGCTAGGTTGGGGAATTTTTCCTGGATAATATCCTGAAGAGAGTTTTCCAGCTTGGTTCCATTCTCTCCATCACTTTCAGGTACACCAATCAAAGGTAGATTTGGTCTTTTTGCATAGTCCCATATTTCTTGGAGGCTTTGTTCATTTCTTTTTACTCTTTTTTCTATAAACTTCTCTTCTCACTTCATTTCAGTCATTTGATCTTCAATCACTGATACCCTTTCTTCCAGTTGATCGAATTGGCTACTGAAGCTTGTGCATTTGTCACATAGTTCTCGTGCCATGGTTTTCAGCTCCGTCAGGTCATTTAAGGCCTTCTTTGCACTGGTTATTCTAGTTAGCCATTTGTCTAATCTTTTTTCAAGGTTTTTAGCTTCCTTGTGATGGGTTGGAACATCCTCCTTTAGCTTGTAGATGTTTGTTATTACCGACCTTCTGAAGCCTACTTCTGTCAACTCGTCAAAGTTATTCTCCTTCTAGCTTTGTTCCATTGCTGACGAGGAGCTGCAATCCTTTGGAGGAGAAGAGGCACTCTGGTTTTTGGAATTTTCAGCTTTTCTGCTCTGGTTTCTCCCCGTCTTTGTGGTTTTATCTACCTTTCGTCTTTGATGATGGTGACCTACAGATGGGGTTTTGGTGTGGAATTCCTTTTTGTTGATGTTGATGCTATTCCTTTCTGTTTGTTAGTTTTCCTTCTAACAGTCAGGTACCTCAGCTGCAGGTCTGTTGGAGTTTGCTGGAGGTCCACTCCAGACCCTGTTTCCCTGGGTATCACCAGCAGAGGCTGCAGAACAGCAAATATTGCAGAACAGCAAATATCGCTGAGTGATCCTTCCTCTGGAAGCTTCATCTCAGAGGGACACCCGGCAGTATGAGGTGTCAGTTGACCCTTACTGGGAGGTGCCTCCCAGTTAGACTACATGGGGGTCAGGGACCCACTTGAGGAGGCAGTCTGTCCATTTTCAGAGCTCAAACATTGTGCTGGGAGAATCAGTGCTGTCTTCAGAGCTGTCAGACAGGGAGGTTTAAGTCTGCAGAAATTTCTGCTGCCTCTTGTTCAGCTATGCCCTGCCTCCAGAGGTGTAGTCTACAGAGGCATGTAGGCCTCCTTGAGCTGTGGTGGGCTCCACACAATTGGAGCTTCCCAGCTGCTTTGTTTACCTACTCAAGCCTCAGCAATAGGCTCTGTGACATTTCCGCTTTAAGGGATTTTATTTAGGAGTATTCTGAGGAAGATTTGTTTCAAGATTTACAACTCCTTTTAGCATTTCTTGTAGTGCTGGCTTGGTAGTGGTGAATTCTCTCAGCCTTCATTTGGAAAAGACTTTCTCTCTCCTTCATTTATGAAGCTTAGTTTCACTAGGTGCAAAATTCTTGATTAATAATTATTTTGTTTAAGGAGGTTAAAGATAGGACTCTAATCCTGTCTGGCTTTCATGGTTTCTGCTGAAAAATCTGCTGTTAATATGATAGGTTTTTCTTTATAGATTACCTGATGCTTTTTCCTCACAGCTCTTAAGATTGTTTCCTTCATCTTGACTTTAAGTAACCTGATGACTATGTTTTATTTTATTTTGTGGGCTTAGATGATGACCTTTTTTGTGATGAATTTCCTGTGTGTTTTTTGAGCTTCTTGTATTTGAATGTCTAGATGTTAAGGTTTCCTTGATTATTGCCTCAAATAAGTTTTCCAAACTTTTCTATTTCTCAGGAATACCAATTATTCTTATGTTTGGTTGTTTAACATAATCCCAAATTTCTTGAAGGCTTTGTTCATGTTTTAGTTCTTTTTTCTTTGTCTTTGTCAAATTGTGTTAATTCAAAAGCCTTGCCTTTGAGCTCTGAATTTCTTTCTTCTATCTTTTTGATTCTATTGCTGAAACTTTCCAGTGTATTTTGCATTTTTCTAAATGTGTCTTTCATTTCCAGAAGTTGTGACTGTTTTTTCTTTATGACATCTATTTCTCTGGAGACTTTTTCATCCATATTCTATATTGTTTTTAAATTTCTTTAAGTCAGTTTTTAACTTTTTCTTGTGCCTTTATGAGTAGCTTAATAATCAATGGTCTGAATTCTTTATTTGGTTACTCAGATGTTTATTCTTGGTGTGGCTCCATTGCTGGAGAGTTAGTGTGATCTATTGGGGGTATTATAGAGCCTTAGTGTGATCTATCAGGGGTATTATAGAGCCTTTTGTTATAGTACCGGAATTACTTTTCTAGTTCCTTCTAATTTGGGTAGACTATTTCAGTGGGAAGATCTGGAACACAAGGGCTTCTGTTCAGATTCTTTTGTCCCATAGGGTGATCTCTTGGTGTGGTGCTCTCCTCCCTCCCTAAGGATGGGGCTTCCTGAGAGCCAGATTGCAGTGATTATTATTGCTCCTCTGGGTCTAGCCACCCAGATGGGCTACTAGGACCCAGGATAGTGCTGGGGAGTGTGTGCAAAAAGTCCTGTGTTGTCATCTGTCTTCAGTTCTTCCAGCCATGGATACCAGCACCTGCTCTGGTGAAGCTGGCAGGGGAGTGACAGGGACTCTGTGGGAGTCTTTTGTTGTAGTTTTATTTAGTGTGCTGTTTTTTTCAAATGCTGGTTATGCTAGCAGTGAAGTTGTCATGGGGACAGACTCAGGATCTCTGGTTAGCCAGGGTATTGCAGGTAGTGGAAGTAGCTGTTGTTTTCTCCTTTGGAGCAGAGTTGTTCTGTTATGAGTTGCTGTAATGACTTGAGTTGGTTGGATTCCAGCCAGAAGGTGACACTTTCAAGAAAGCACCAGCTGCAATAAGAGAAGGAGGATATAATCTTGCCCTATGTTGACCAGGATAAGTACTCAGGTTTCTCAGGTGATGGGCAGAGCCATAAAGCTCCCAAGAGTTTATGACTTTTGTCTTTGGCTATCAGGTTGGGTAGAGAAAAACCATCAGGTGGGAGCAGGATTAGGAATGTCTGAGCTCACTCTTTGGGCAGGGCTTGCTGCGGTCATTGTGTGGGATGAGGGGTCATTCTCAGGCCAATGGACTTATGTTCCCAGGGGGATTATGGCTACCTCTCCTGTGTCATACAGGTCACCAGAGAAGTGGAGAAAGCCAGCAGTGACAGGCTTCACCCAGCTCCCACACAGCCTGCAAGGCTAGTCTTACTCCCAACAGCACCGAGTTTATGTCCAGGCAAATGTGGAGCAGCACTGAAATCTTGCCCAGGCTACAAGCCTCCATGCTGAGAAAGCAAGCAGGGCTCTCAGACCTCACCCCTTCCCACCTGCCTGCACCTTCCCCTATGTGTTCTGCACTCAAAGCTTCACTTCCTGTTCACACTCCAGGATTCTGCTTGGGAAAATTTGTGCTCAGTCGAAATTATTACAAAGTTTATCTAGAAACTTCCTTCACCCTGTGGTCTCTCCCCACTTCCACTGACTGCCTTCCCTTCCCAATGACCCTTGTGAATTAAGGCCAGAAATGTCTTCCCTGGGCTTTCACTGGGAATGAGGATTACCTACAGGGCTCTTTCTACTGCTTCTTTGGCTTTTATATTTTGCTCAGCTCCCTAAACACATTTCAACTCTAGGTAAGGCTGAATCCTTCTCCTGTGATCTGTATTTTGAGGTTCCACAATAGGGATGTATGTTCAGAAGCAGCCTTTTCCCCACCTCACACTTTGGAAACTCAGTTTTTTGGCTGTGTCACAGTTTGCAGCAGTAAGGTGCTTTTTTCAAAGGGTCTGTGAATTTATGTTGTTTTTGTGGTATGTTCCTGTGGTGGTTCTTGGAGCAAAAGTTCACAGTGTGGGTCTCTACACGCTATTCTGTCTCTCCATGCAGGAGTTGCACTTTAGTCCTGTCTCCTATCTGCCATTATTCCCAGTGCTGCTCAAATGCATATTTATTAAAATTACCTCTTGCTTTAGTGAAAGAGGAGATGATTTACACTGTGGATAACATGATGAAGGCCTGGACAAGAATTAGTAGAGTAGAAAGACACCGTCTTCCAGAAAACCACTGAAGGAAGGAAAACAAAATAAGAAGGCAAAGAAGAAATATAAACATTAGACTATAATTTAAAAAATACATTGGCTAAAGATATCACAGCACCCAGCAGAGTACCACAAAGTCTAGGCATTTCATAAATATTCGTTGAGTTATTTAGTGAAAATAAGAATGAACATCGAGAAGGATATTAGACTCTTGCTGTTGAATATGTGCTCTCATTTGCTTTCAAATCCAAAACAAGAATTAATAAACATAGAATTTATTTGCTTTGGATTTAAGAAGATAATTTGCACTATTCCAAATCCAGGTTATTTTTGTTCTTGATTATAACCTAAATTCTATAAGGGTAAATGGCTCGGCAGACAGTAATGAATAGCAAGAGTAGTGTATTTAGTACTAATTCTCTTATTTGGTCATTTTTGTCCAAATAAGAGAGTACAATACATGTGTGATATTTACAGTGTTCATTATCCTCAGTTTACACACAAGTATTCAAGTGACCTACTGAAGACCACCTCATGATCTAATGATTCAGTTGAGAATACGGTCTAGTAAAATTGTGGCCTTAATTTCTTTTTTTGGACATGAAAGAACTTGAAAAAATATATAAACATATCTAATTTTAGATCAGTCAAGCTAGAGATAGAGAGTAAACTTTCAAGAAATAGAAATACCCTGGGTACAAATTGATAACTCTAGCTCATCTTTGGTTATTCATATTTTTGATGTTTTCTGCCTAATCAACATGTGGTTTTATGGGGAATCTTGTTTACTTCTACATCATTGAAGGAAACTTTTGGGTTCATAATAGAACTTGTTAAAACTTGTGGTTGAATATTCAGACTCAAAATCTTGCAACTGGAATGCAGTTAACAGAAATTCATGATACTAGCAAAGTGTCGGTTGGTTATAACTTCATATACTGCAACCAAATGTAACACCTGGAAAGTTATAATTCTTTTAAAACACTTATAAGAGCATTCGCTCTTCATCACACCCTCCCCTTGTCCTTACACACACACAAACACACCCACAAAAATAATGTTTTTTTCTGGTAGTATATAAGAAGTAGATAGAATTCCACTTTTTAATCCCTGCTCTAAGGGGATACAATTTTTTAAAAAATGTGAAACTTCAAGTTATCATAGATATCATCTAGTTGGATCACTTTACTTTTTTTTTCATTTTAGTAATCAGAAATTTGGGGTAAAAAGGTTGTGTGCCTAAGATCATGTGGATTGTTACAGAATAAGCTCTGAACAAGAAAGTAGCAGAGTGCAGGAGAATGGGTAGTTACACGTCCTTAGGCAAGTCAGTTAGCCACCTTGAATCTGCTTTTTATTGGTGTTAGACATGAAATGAGAACATATATTTGATAGCATTCAATATGCTAGGAATGTCTATAAAATATAAGCATCATCTAGACTTTCTTTAACCACACAGAGACTGTATTGTGTTTTAGAAATAGTACAGTTTTGGAAAACAAACAGGTCTGAGTTCAAATGTTATCTTCTTTGTTTACTTAGTCTCTCAGAAACTATGCCCTTAGACATTGCTAGTGAAAGTGAAGATAAGGGGACAGACACTCTCATTGGGAAGTGTAAATGTGTGCAAATTTAGAATGCAATTTGTCAACATGTATAACATATTGAAGGGTATGCCCCTTTTATTTACCCTTCCCACTACAAGATATTGACCACAAAGATATATTTACATAGATTTACAAAGGTTTGTATACCATAATGCTTATTACAATATTTTTTCATAGTGACAAAAAAATTGGAAACAAGTGATGAATTCGTTGGTAGAGGATTACTAAATAAATCACTTTTGGGACCCCTTTTGTTATTCTGTTGAATTAGAAAGTGAGTAATTATAAAGGATATTTAAACAGGTATGATGAAATAACATGTGGTAAATAATTTATTTACCATAAACAGGATCATCTTATACACAATGTTTGCCCAAGGCTTTTGACATTTAATAATAGCATTTTCAAACCTTTGTGTTCTATCTCATTTTTAAATGGCCACATGTTATTTCATAATACCTGTTTAAATATCATTTATATATATATATATAATATATAATATATATTCCCAGGGTATATATATATAATATACATATATATATACACATACACATTATATATATATATATATATATATACACACTTGTATATTCTAGTAAAAGCATAAAACTGAGGATGTGTGGTAATTTTGGATCATTTTAGATTTAATTACAAATTAAGAAACAACGTATATTTATAAACAACATTATAGGAGGCATAATAACAGTGTTCTGACCAAACTATAATTAGTAATACAATAACCGGTATAAAATACATAAGGCATAGTACTGATTTCACAGATGAAAGAATGATTTCTCCTCTTTTTTCAATCTCTTTCCTGGGAATTAAAATATAAATATATATAAAATAAAATACATTTAATTAATATGTAATTAAAATATATATCAGTATATTTTTATTCTGCCTCTAATATTTAAATTTTTATTTCTTTTCAAATAAGAAAGCATGAGAGGAACAGAAGATAATTGCATATATTCATTCATTTAAAAAATGAGTGGTTACTATTGGCAAGATTCTGCTAGATTCTGAAAATGCAAAGACAATTAAGACATTTCCTGTTCTGTAAAGTTTACATGCAGGGGGAAATGACATGCATGAAAACGTTACAAGTGTGATAGGTGCAAATACTCATGACACCAAGAAAAAAACAAAGCAGAGGTGCAAAGTGAGATGAAGTTTCCTGATAGGATTTCACTTACAATGAAGTCACACCAGTGTTGGAACCATGTGGTCCTCACAAGTCTAGAGAAGGCATATGAACTTAGTCTTTTACACAACAATGAGCTAGTGAAGGTTTTGAAGCATTGGACATGAGGCACTCAAGTTTTTCTTTAGAAAGATCAAGTGATTGGTAATTCTGCAGCTAGACTGTAAGTGAGAAGTCAGTTCTATAAGCAAAAATATCTGTTGGGAGGTGATTATAACAGTGCACATGAGATGAGAGTGTTGTAAACAAAGGGAATAGTAGTGGGTACAGTGGCAAGGCATGGATTCAAGAGGTGTTTAGAATGCAGAAAGAGCAGAAATAACTGCATACATAGAGTGAAGTCAGTGATGATTTGGGATATCAAATGAGGACAACTGGATGCTTTGTGGTGTTGTTAGTCAAAAAAGAACTCAAAGAAGTGTCTGGGAAGGGTGTTATGGTGAAATACCACTGGTATGGGCACAGTGAGTGTGAAATGCTGAAGCTATATTCATCTTACTAGAAATGATGGAATTATACCATGCATTATGCATGCCTGCAGCTCAGCATCGCGTATGTGAGGAAGTCAGCCCTGATTTCTCTTAGGAAAAGGCTTGATATCTTGACTTGGAAATTGTTCATAGAATGAGAAGAGAAAATAGCAAGAATGAGTGACACACATTTAAGGAGCAGGCCTAAGAAAACAAACCAGTAGTGGAGGCAAAGAAGTGCTAAGATAAATGATGTGTCTTTGTTAGAAATAAGAATGCGCATGATTTAAGAAGTGAATCATTTTCTTTTTTGAAATGGGATTCAGCCTCTTCAAAATCCAGAAACATGCAGCACCTTCTGCTGTTAATTGGCTGCTAGCTATTCTAGATAATTAAATACCACTCGCTGTCCTTAAAATTTGACATACCCTCTAGCAAACTTCATTTTTAAATCTGTTGTCAACCAAGATTTCTTGCTTAAAAGAGATTTTTTAAATAACTGATTTAAAGAAGGTATTATTGCTACCAGGAAAAAATCATTTTAGAGCAAGTTTTATAAATACTTCAGACCAATAGACCAGGCCATCAGAAAGACTGGCACACTCAGAGCAAATCTTCAGAGGAAAGATATCGCGAGTAGACAGAGGAACAACTTGACATTTGGTCAAATAGACCTAACAGACATCTGCATAACTCTCCACCCCAAAACAAAAGGCCATACATTTTTCTCATCTGCACATTGCACATACTCTAAAATTGACTACATGGGAATTAACTTGCTTCTGGATGACTTTTGGGTAAACAAGGAAATTAATGCAGAGTTAAGAAATTCTTAAAACTAATGCAAACAAAGATACAACATACCAGAATCTCTGGGATACAAGTAAAGTAGTGTTAAGAAAAAAGTCTAAATACCTACACTAAAAAGTTAGAAATTTCATATTAACAACCTACTAGAGCAAACCTACCCCAAAGCTAGCAGAAGACAAGAAATAACTAAAATCTGCACAGAACTGAATAAAAATGAGATGTGAAAAATCATACAAAAGATTGACAAAACCAGAAATTGGTTTTTGAAAGAATAACTAAGACCACCAGCTAAACAAAGAAAAAGAGAAGATTCAAGTAAACAGTCAGAAATGACAAAGGGAACATTACCACCAACCTCACAGAAATACAAAAAATCTGAGACTATTATAAATACCTCTATGCACGCAAAATAGAAAACCTACAAGAAATGGATAAACTAATGGAAAATACAACCTTCAAAGATTAAAACAGGAAAAAATTGAATCCCTGAACAGACCAATAAGGAGTTCTAATATTGAATCGGTGTCAGTACCAACCAAGAAAGCCCAGGACCAGATAGATTCACACTAAAATTCTACCAGATGTATGAAGAAGAGATGGTGTCATTTCTACTGAAACTTTCCCGAAAAACTGAGGAAGAGGGACTCCTCCCTAACTCTTCCTATGAGGCCAGTATCATCCTGATAACAAAACATGGCAGAGACACAACAACAACACAAAAAAATTTAGACCAATATCCTTGATGATCATCTATGCAAAAATCCTCAATGAAATACTAGCAACACAAATTCAGCAGCACATCAAAATGCTAACCTGTCATGATAAAGTAGGATTTATACCTGGGATGCAAGGTTGGTTCAACATATGCAAATCAATAAATGTGATTCATCCCGTAAACAGATCTAAAAACAAAAACCACATGATCATCTCAATAGATAACAGAAAAGGCTTTCAATAAAATTCAACATCCCTTCATGTTAATAACTCTCAACAAACCAGACATTGAAGAAACATACTTCAGAAAAAAAAAAAAAGGACCAATCTATGACAAACCCACAGCCAACATCATACTGAATAGGAAAAAGCTAGAAGCATTCCTCTTGAGAACCAGAACAAGACAAGGGTGCCCACTGTCACCACACCTATTCAGCTTAGTATGGGGAGATCTAGCCAGAGCAATCAAGCAACATAAATTAATAAAAGGCATCCAAATAGGAAGAGAAGAAGTCAAATTATCTGTTTACAGATATGATTCTCCACCTAGAAACCCCATATTCTTTGCCCCAAAGCTGCTAGATCGGATAATCAACTTCAGTACACTTTCAGGATACAAAACCAATGTACAAAACCAATAGTATTCTTATATATCAACAACATCCAAGCCGAGAGCCAAATCAAGAACTCTGTTCCATTCACAATAGCCACACACACAAAAATAAAATACCTAGGAATACAGCTAACCAGGAAGTTAAAAGATTTCTACAACAAGACTTACAAAACACAGCTGAAAGAAATCATAGTTGACACAGACAAATGAAAAACCATTCTATGCTCATGAATAGGAAAATCAATACTCCTAAAATGGCCATACTGCCCAAAACTCAATTTACAGATTGAGTGCTACTCCTGTCAAACTACCAATGACATTTTTCACAAAATTAGAAAAAAACTGTTCTAAAATTCACATGGAACCAAAAAAGTGCCTGAATAGCCAAAACAATCCTAAGCAAAAAGAACAAAGCCAGAGGTATCACATTATCGTATTTCAAACTACAAGGTTACTACTTTGATTACAAGTAGACTTGTAACCAAAACAGCATGATCTTGATACAAAAACAGACACATAGACCAGTGAAACAAAATAGAGAGCCAGAACTAAAACCACGTATCTACAACCATCTGATCTTCAACAAAACTGACAAAAACGAACAAAGGGGAAAAGACAACCTATTCAATAAATGGTGCTAGGATAACTGGCTAGCCATATGCAAAAGATTGAAACTGGATCCCTTTTTTTTCACCGTATACAACAATCAACTCAAGATGAATTAAAGATGTAAAGGTAAAACTTAAAATTATAAAAACACTAGAAGATGACCTAGGAAGTACCATTCTGGACATAGGCCCTGGGAAAGATTTCATGACAAAGATGTCAAAACCAATTGCAACAAAAACAAAAATTGACAGTTAAACTAAAGAGCTTCTGCACAGTGAAAGAAACCAGCAACAGAGTAAACAACCTACAGAATTGCAGAAAATATTTGCAAACTATGCATCCAGCAAAGGTCTAATATCCAGAATCTGTAAGGAACTTAACTGACCAAACCAAAAAAAATAAACAATCCCATTAAAAAGTGGGCAAATTATAAGAACAGACACTTTACAAAAGAAGATATGTGTACTCACAACAAGAATACAAAAAATGCTCAACATTATTAATCATTAAAAAGTGAAATTCAAAACTACAATGAGATAGCATATCATACTAATCAGAGTAGCTATTATAAAAAAGTCAAAAAGTAACAAATGCTGGTGAGAATGCAGAGAACCTGGAATGCTTATACACTGCTGTTGGGAATGTAAATTAGTTCAGACAATATGGAAAGTAGTTTGGTGATTTCTCAAAGAACTTAAAACAGAACTATGATTTGATGCACCAATCCATTGTTGGGTAGATATCCAGAGGCGTATAAATTATTCTACCGTAAAGAACCACACGCACGCATGTTTATCACAGCACTATATTCACAATGGCGAAAACACGGAATCAACCTAGATGCCTATCTACAGTGGACTAAATAAGGAAAATGTGATACATGTACACCATGGAATATGATGCAGCTGTAAACAAGAACAAGATGATGTCTTTTTCAGCAACATGGATGAAACCCATGGCCATTATCCTAAGTGAACTAACACAGGAACAGAAAGCCAGATACCACATGCTGTCACTTATAAGTGGGAGCTAAACATTGAATATATGTGGACCCAAAAAAGGGTACAATAAACACCAGGGCCTACTTGAGGGTGGAGGGTGGGAGGAGAGTGAGGATTGGAAAACTACCTATTGGGTACTATGCTTATCTCCAGGGTGATGAAATAATCGGTGCACCAAACCCACAGGTAATGCAATTTACCCATGGAACAAATCTGCCCATGTACCCCTGAACCTAAAATAAAATTTTAAGAAAGAGAGATAAAAAAGAAACATCTTTAGCAAAACATAGATTTGGCTAAGCACATAGGCACATGTGTTATACCAGACTCACTAATAATATTTATTAAAGAGTAAATTAGCTTTACTCCCACAAAGAAGTTGGTTAGTGCACAGAGGAACATGTGAGAGGTAGCTGCTTGGGTTGAATTCTTTCATGTTTGCTCTAGGATGAGTCTTCTTTTTTTTTTTTTTAATAGGAAACTTCGTATTTGTAAAATAAACTAAATTTTCAGTTTTTCTTGACAAAAAACAAAATAAATACTTCAATAAGTATATTTCTCGACACATTTTTACAGTATTTCATGACAAGTGTTTCTCAAAACTACATAAAGGTCTCAATTATCTCACTCCAAGGAACAAATGCCCAAGAGTTGGAGCAAGGCGGTGGTGGCCAGGAATGCCAGGGCCATGACTTTCACTGCTCTCTGTAAAGTAATTAGAAAAGACAATATGGTATGCACCTCATCTCAACCTCAATAACCCTCTATCTTCCTGCGATAAATACAACAAGGTAAACCTTCAGAGTACCTCAGGTTGAATTTAATATTGCCCTCAGAGAGTGTTCCCTTGTTTCAGCCAATTCATTGACACATAAAAACTTCTTCTCATATATTTTTTTAAAGCAAACAACAGCTTTTAATTCCAATAAACCTTCTTTCAGCAAAATACCATGTGAATGAGTTTCTCAATAGTCAAAGCAGCCAGAATTCTCTTGCTAAGCCATGAATTCTATGGCCTCAGATCTGAAAGATAAGCTACTTAGGAGACAAAACTCATCCTTCCTAGTGACTTCTTTTCTATTTTTTGTCTGAGAATGATCCTCTATGGGGAATTTTTTTGTAATAAATGTTCATTTCCCATCTCAATCTCTACCTGTCTTCTGTCAGTGACTGTGTATTTGACTGAAACATGTAGTATTAGGGAAGTAACTGAGGCCATTTCCACGTAGGATACTGCATCCCAAAGCCAAATGCAAGGGTTTTAGAATTATCCACTATTTGGATTGTCCTGCTACTGACACTTTCATTAATGTAGATAAGACAATTGATGTTCAGTGAAATTTCAATGTAGCTGAAATATTAAAGCTTTCAGGTAAACTGCCTAAATGCAAATTCATTGGAAAAGAATCAGAAAGAGTTGAGGAATTTTTTTTTTGAGGAGGGAGAGTCATTGTAAGTGTTATTGAATTTGAAGCCAGAATCTTACTTTATTATTGTTAGAATGAATATACTAGATGTTCATTAATGATTAAGTGATATGGTTTAGATCCAATAATGAATTGAAAAAGAGGTGTGATAGTGTTATTTGTAATATTGTGGAGATTAAAAGATAAGCTCACAGAGGAATTAGAACATGCATTTTAATGCATTGTTGATTAAATGCATTGTGGTTTCTTATCATTTCTGATTTAACTCAAGAGTTCGGAGGGGCTTGAGACTCCATATAGTTTTTATGGTTAGATTTTTAGTGCCAACAGACATCAGTACACAGTTCTGAGAGTACCTGTGAAACCATTCTAATAAAATTAATAAAACTAAACTGCTAGGTTTTTAACAAAAACTAAACTTTAGTAAAAGCATAGATAAGCATTACCAGCTTTCCCTATAGCCTACTTCTCTATAGCTGCTTACTGCTAAAAGTTACAAAACTTTTCTCACTAGGTCCTTTTATAGATAACATCTTTAATGCTAAGAAACTCCAAGGTTTCCATTTGGGATATTTTTCAGATTCTGCATTCCAGTGGGTTCACTGATGCCAGCTTGTCTGAAAACTGACTCAATGTAAGAATGCAGTTTCTACACCTTTGTTATTTCATCCCCCACACCCTAGACAATCAGTGGCCCCCAACTCCTCAGCCCCATACCTGTGAAAATTCCCTTAAAAATCTCAGTCCAAAACTCCTTGGGGAGGCAGATTTTAGGTTCCCTCCCATCTCTTCACTGCTTTACCATTCAACCATTAAACTCTTTCTCTGCTGCTATTCCTGCTGTTTCAGGGTATTAGTACGTTACCATGCAATGGGCACAAACCTAGTGGCCTTGTAACAACTGATAAAAGAATCAACAGAAACTTGAAATGTCAAGTTCAATAATAATAATGGTCCCTGGAAAAATAGAATGGTGGCTAAAAAACAAAACTCTGGATCCATCCTGCCTGAGTTCAAATCCCAGCCCACCAACTATTAAAATTTTTATGCTTTTCTTTTCTTATTTCTAAAACTAGAACAATAATAGTTGCTATTTCACTGAGTGGTTGTAAGAATTAAGACAATTAATGCTATTAACTATATACAATTATTATTAGGCTATACATTGAGTAAAGCCCAAGTATACAGTAGAGTTAGGAAAAGAAAAGTGAAAGGAGGTGAATAAGGTTTCTTAGTTCCATATGTTTATCAAATGCTGAATTTCCCAAAAGACCACAAGAGTTTATTGATCAAGCAAAGCTAGCTTTATTGTACCTATTTAAAAAAGAGAAAATACCACCTTAGTAGAATCACAGTGTCTCAGAACAGGGGATCAGGAGGGGATAGTTTTAAGGTTAGGGGCTCTGGTGTCAAATAGTTTAAGATCAGTCTTTCAAGGTATACAGTTGTTTGTAGGTAGGTAAAATTCATGGCATAATAGTTTATAATTGATATAGTAAGGATGATAAACCACACTTGATAAATTAACCACTCTTGATAAATTAACTCTTCTTCGATAAGCAAGCAGATGAAAAAATCTGTTCTGATAGAAGAACTATTTATCCAGATAACTAAATTGTTTGTACAGATATATTTGTTTGATGAAGTTTCCTGAAGACAGCAAAATATTTATCAGTTTACAGCCTCATCTTGTTAGGTCAGGATTTTCTGGAGAGAATAGAAAATCCATTTGACCTAGGTACTTTCAGATCTAAGGCCTGATAGTTAAACCATGATAATACAGATGATCTGAATCTCATGCTTTAAAGTAGATAGTAGAATATCAAATTTGACCTTTTGATACCTTAGGAGATATATATCTTGAATATAATGATAAGAAAGGTAAGAGAGGATTGGGGGAACTTATTAGGGGTGATTTGATGGGGTTCATATAATCCTATGTGGATACAAAACATTAGAATTTTATATGTAACCCCTGAGACAGGTAACTTAGAAGCTGAGACACTTCCAGATAGTACCTCCTGTGCTTGAAATGCATTCAGATACGTGGCAGGATTTTAGATTCTTTGATCAAAGGAATCATTAAAGGGCATGGGTGTAGGTGTGCTGTGACTACTGGAGCAAAGTCTATACAGCATGTATACTCTACTAGAATTTATTCCGGAACAAGAACATGTGAAGTGTAATGTGTTTGAAGCATAGATTATGAAGGGCATTTTAACTAGAGAGAAAACTAGGAGTGGGGGACGAATTGTGAAGTGTCTGATAAAGATTCTTTTAGAAATCTAACTTAGATCTCTAAACAAGTGCTTTTAAACCAATAGATATTTTAGTTGAGAATGCAAGAGTTATGCTCCAGACTTTTTTTTGTCATGAAGTCATTTTTAGATAATTGGCTTAATTTCCTGTATGTCTCTTCCACCCTTCAATACAGATGTTTTTCTTCTACCCTCCTAGGTTCTCTGGTTGGAGCTCCATAAAATTAAACTGATCAAAGAAAGATTATCAAGAGAAAAACAAAACTTCATTAATATGTTCATCAAATACACATGGGAGTACACAGTAATGAATAACTCAAAGGCATGGTTAGAACTTGGGTTTATATAAAATCTTAACAAAAATGATAAATTTTTAGATAAATTACAAGACAAAGGAAAAGGACTTTGTTTCTAGGGTAAAAACATGGTGGGAAGGCAAACGTATGGGGAAGCAATGGTAGATAAAAACTGGTGTAGTGGAAGGAAGAGTCAACCCCATAAGTTCTTAGGCAGTACTGACCTTTGTAACAAAATATCAACAAGAGAAAAGCGAATAGAAGTTTATTAACATGTATATTTCATACATATATTGGAGACACCCAGGGAATGAGCTGTACTCTGAAAGGTGGCTTCAAATCCAGTATATATAGCATCTTCAATAAAGAATATAGTTAGTAAAGCTTGCTAATGTACATTCCTCTGGTATCATCTCCAGGCAGATAAATGTCCAAAGTTGTCTTCGGTGGTTAATCTTTTATTCCTTGGTAGACAGGGGAGGTGAGATGTCTTCTGTCTTTGCCAATATGTGTCTTGCTCTTTGGCAAATAGAGGAAAGGCAAAGAGCTTTCTTGTATCTGCTTCTTAACTGTTTTCAGCTCAACAATCCGTCATCTTTTGGGAAGACATATTCTGGTCTCCCAAACTGGTTAAAAGTTTATGTCAATTCCTCCGGTGTCAATTTAGGGCTGATAAGTTGTTGCCAGTGATTAACTTCTGTCTTTCCTTATAAGGAGGTGGGAGGATAACTTTACAAATTTATATTCTTCTTTTGGGCAAATAAGGGGAGGGCAGAAAGCATTTCTTATATCTGCTTCTTCTCAGTTGAATTTAGGTCAAATAATCCTTCATTGCAAAGTGGCATATGTTGGGTGGCATATTCTGCTACCTTTCATTAGGGTCAGAATAGCAAGAATATTATTTCAAAGATACAGCAAAGGTCTATGGGAACAAGAGCAGTCTTCTTACCTCTGTACCTCCACATAGAGAGTTGCAATGATAAAGAATTGTTTCCTGAGCATCCTTAAGGAACAACATTCCTGAATCATGTCTACTTCATTATTATCCCTGGCAGAAGAGTTGGAGAAGTAGTTGCAGTTCACTGTGTCACCAAACAAGAATCTCCTTTCCTCTACATATAGGGTAATGCCCCTCCAAGGAAGAAATATGAGGCTGTCATAGCTCCAGCCACTTCCCCTGGCCTGACATTCTACTCATTGGCCTATGATGCTCCTAAAAAGACAGAGGACACAGTGTGGAGGTCATATATTATTCATTGGCATCATGGTGAGCCATCTACCCAGCCTCCCGACTGGAAGTCGAAGCAGTAAACAATGATTCTCGCTCACATATTGTTTTTATTTGCTCACAATTTCCAGTCAAGTAAGGTACGTGTCTCTCAACTCTTTGGAGAAGAGATTACTTCATGATTCCCTTAAATAGAGATTTTCTGCCTTCATTCCCCGAGGAGGCTTGTTACTTCTCATCCTAGGAAGTGTTGCATCTTGCAGGCCCGTACGTGAGCTTGCGGAGCCCTGAGTCCCTATGGTTGGCCTCAGGGAGCAACAGGGAACTGAAATTTCTCAGCAGCTCAGTTTGTAATAAAACCATTTTTCTTGACATTGATTGCTTGCTCTCCTGGAGACCTAAGTCATTTCTTCTGGTCGTTCTGTTCTCCAAAGCACACAGGTTAAAGGGGTTATCACTGTGATCTTAAGAGGCATTGTTTCTGTGTTTACAAAAAAATGTAGAGGTGGCTGTTGGCATCCCAATCCCTCATCCATGACTTACTGTGAATTTCTTACATCAAAGAAGAAGCAAGACTTCTACAAGACACCTTTTCTTTTCTATGGTTCTTTAACCAAAACATAGCCTAGCACTATCGATCTATCGTTCAATATTTATCTAATATCTGCCTAGCACAAAAGGATGAGTTAGGCTCTACCCTCTAGTAGCTTAAAATGTGGCTGAGGAAATAAATTGTGCTGAGCAAATAATGACACATAAAGTGAATGTGAAAGTGAAATTTATATTCAGTGTCCATAAGTAAAGTTTTATTGGGGCGAGGCATGCTCTTTTGGTCACTTATAGTCTATGGCTGCTTTCACACCCTAAAGGCAGGGTGGAAGGGCTGTGACGGAGACATCATGATCCACATAGCCTAAAATATTTACTATCTAATCTCCTATAAATTACATGAATGGTATCTCAGTGTATTTAATATTGTAAACATTTTCAGCCCTGTAAATTATGTTATCATTACAAAACATCTATGAATTAGGAAAGTAGGTATTATTATCTTCACCTGACAGCCAAGGAAGCTGTTGCAACAGATCCTGAGTTAAATACTCAGCACAGCAACCATGCAAAGAAACACATCAGAATGCTGGTTTATTTCAGCCAAAAACTTAAACTGATACCCTTCTGTTTTGCAAGCTTCAAATTGGTGTGCAAAATCTTCCTGTTCTCCTTTCTGTACCCAATCCCCACCCTACCATCCCCAAAGCTTACCTCTTCATCTCACTCTGGGTAACGAATGAGGAATTTTGAGGACTACTGGGCACTATAACTTTTCAGAGCAGGCAGGGCTGCTTCTCAGCCCAGGAACTTGGGTAATTGTCACACATTGGTAAAATTCATCGGAGACAATTGCCCTTAAATCAACATTTTCATCTGCAAGGTGCTGTCAGGGATGGTGTAGGTTATGAATCCTGTCCTCAGAACTGGTGTACAGCTAAGAACAGTTTTGGTCTTTTTTTGAAATTCTCTTTTTTTTGATATTTGAATTTGTTTACTATTATTATGCTTTTAAATCTATATTTATGGATTAAAATACGGAAAGGAAGCATAATGGATGAAAAAATGTTTCCCTTGGGTGCTGGAATGATACATATTTCACTCTAAGTATTCTGTATTTCCTACACTTCTCAATAAGTATGTTTATTTTAGAGAGTTTATTATATATGCAAACATATACATATAAGCATATATACACCTTTTATGGAACTCTTGACCAAACTTTAGACAGGGTCTTCTGAGCCCTCTCTCAACTAGGTCTTGTCTTGGGCCTTCCTAGCCCAGTTTTAGAAAGAATCCTGCTAAGTCAGTGTAGGGAGAATCCTCTCACCCTTGATATCTTGCTACGTCAAGCAAGAATCCTGTCAAGTTGGTTTAGCAAGAATGCTCCTACTCTTGATGTCTCCTCTATGTAATTTTTCATCCATTAACTCCCACCAACTCTGCCTATTCATTATAAGTCTCCAGTTATCCATGCTATATTCTGAGTTGAGCCCTTTTCCTCTCCCATATTGCAATAGTCTTGACACATATTGCAACATTCTTTCTTCACCTGTTTATCTATACACAGTGTGCAAAAAGATGCACATGCAAATATAACAAGTTCTTCCTTTCTTTGGCTTTCCCAGATATTCCATAAAACCAATCTTTGCCATCTTTGTCAACAAAGGTGACTATCCATGGCACACATCTATCAGATTACAATCATGGAGGCCAATTATTGTGCATAACTAAAGCTGATGCTAGAAGACAGTTTAGCCTTGGTAAATCACACATCAGTTCATGAAGACTCAGACTTGGATTTCTATGACAATGTTATCTTAGATCTGAACAAACTTGTGAAGCGTAGAACAGAGGGCATTTGTTCAGCAAAATCTGTGGTTTTGACACTCCCATTTTTAGTGCTTGGTGAATGTCTTCCAAACTCAAATGTCCAAAAGTGAGAGTGGGAGGCGAGTGTTGATTAGGTGGAGCCAGTGCAGGTCTATGTATGATCCTTACAAAGCTGAGACAGGTGACCTATGGCCAAAGGCTGCCATTGATGGGACTTGTCAGAATCCCCCCATTCTTGCTGCAATGGAGTCAGTGGACCTGGGCCAGTAAGGGATGATACATTACAAATACATCAACTAAGTAAGAGAACAGACATAAGATCACTTAAAGGGCATGAAGAAGCTTGTTCTGCTGCAAAGCATTTCAGGTCAGTTTAACTATAATAACGGAAACCTCCACTGTCCTAAGTAAATTATTTTATTGTAAAGACATCACAACACTAATGGCTCCTGTTAAAAGTCAGTTATCTTCTTAAATGGAAAAAAAAAAAAAACATCATTCATTACAATTCAGGAAGTATTTGGAGTACCTGCTGTAGGTATAGTTTGTACTAAGCTCTATGGGTGATACTCAATAACTGACAATGTAGCTGGGAAGGTAGGCACATAAACCTGTGTCCTGAAGGATCAGTTTTTATTTTTAGTTTTTTTTTTTTCACTTCATCACAGACTGATAGGAGGTATTTACATGTGGTTCATCAAGTGAGCTCAAAAGCACTTAGGCTAGTCTGTAACTTGTTTAATGAGAGTTGTTTACTAGTCACTTGTTTGGATGTCATGGCAAAGTCAAATTTCTATATAAACATTTTTAAATGGTCACTCTCAATTGCAGAACTCATCTCACTACTAATTTCTGAATAAATCTCACTGTGGACTGTAAGGAACAGTTTGAGATCAACACCGCACTTTGAGCAGCTCTTGTCTATCCCCCAAATTATTAACTCTGGTTGCATGTTAAACACATCTGGGAGCTTTAAAAATTTCCTACTCTTAGTCCCCACTTTAAACTCATTACCTCTCTGGGGAGTAAGCATGGCATCAATATTTTCAGAGCATCAGAGTAAGGTTCTTCAAGCCTAAGAACTTCAAGGACAATTCACAATGCCTCTATTATTAGATACTTACCTTTTCATACTACACAGTTTATGTCAAAAGCCAACGTAAGCTACTGACTCCTATAAGCTTTGTTAGATCGTTACTCACAAGTGAGTGAATTTCCTTGTGTTGACCAAGTCAGGCATTAGTATTTAGACAATAGCCAGCTAGCAACTGGTTTAGATATCTATAAAAATATCCTTAAGTTGTTCTTTAAAAATCTTTACTATCTTTTTTGTTGTTGTTTTTAGGGTTAAAAAGCAATATAAAATGATTTAAGTAGAAAGAAAAAGATTATCCGTAATCCAACTATTTATACCCAAAAGATAGCCACAGCCAATATAGTGGTATAGTATTTTTCATAT
Source organism: Homo sapiens (assembly GCF_000001405.40). Lineage (NCBI taxonomy): Eukaryota > Metazoa > Chordata > Mammalia > Primates > Hominidae > Homo > Homo sapiens. The sequence goes on along the minus strand of NC_000002.12, from coordinate 116,963,100 downwards.
ATATACTTTTGCACAAAACATGCAAATTTTAAAGTTATAATTGTGTATGTACAATACTATATCCTTTTATACGTATCATTATGGTGAAACTTATATTAAAAACTACACATCTTATGGTTGCATAATTAACCAATCTTTTACTGTTAAAAACTTGGATTATGTCCATTTTCCCCATAGTAACGCAGGAATGTTCATTCTATATTTGTAACAAATACTTTTTATAATCTTTGCCTTTTTGGTTATTTGTGTTGAATAATTTTAAAATTAATTATGCTTACTAATTATATTAAACTGTATTATTTTAATATTAATAATTATCATTTGTATTACATACTTTCTAACTGATTTCCTCAATGATTCTCAAGTTTACCCTTTCTCCAGCAGAACAGGAATGCATATTTTCTAAACCCATGGCCATATTCTTACTTAAATATTTGTTGAGTCAAAAGTGGTATCTTATTTTAATGTGAAACTTTTTCAGTATTAGTATGGCAAAATATATTCATAGTGAAGATGATGATAATAATGACAATGATGATGGTGATGATGATAGAATGATGCATTGGTCTGCTTGTAAGAGCTTTCTTCTTTTCGATTTACCTTATTCTTTCTCCTTAAGTCTGAGTGGAATCTATGTACAAACCCTCTTTAGTACTTTTGTAGAAGCATAGGGATATAACCTTTTGTCAAATATTTTCAAGTTCTCATAATTTCAGTCATTTGTGATTGTCCGAAGAAAATTATAATAATAGATGTAGAGAATAAAAGGTGTGAACACTTGGAAACTGTTGTGCTGAACAACCTAGGACCTGAGAATAGCTCATTTCACCCCATGAAATTACAATGTATGTCAGTTGTTCAGTATTAGTATACCTAGGGAGAAATATGCTGTCTTTAGAAACATAAAATAGCATCACAGTTAACTTCAGGGAATACTGTGAAATTGAAAGCCAAGAGAGTTACAAACATATCAAGGAGCTGTATGGGTTGTTTGAAAGTTCAAGCTAATGAATCATAGTAAAAAATATAGTAGCAATGTGAAGTTTCCAAGTATTGCATATAATAAAGACATGATACAAAAAGCATGTAAATAGAATCTCAGCATTGTAGGGCTGACCACTTGTTTGCTTCCATTGCACATCTGTGCCCCCCCATTTGTGTATCCTGGCTATGTGTGGCAGGATGGGCAAACAGCTCTTTACAAGAGGCAACACACTTGTCAGTGTCAGGGTGGTACTGCCCGCTGCCCCATCCTAGATGGCCTGGCCCAGTTCATAGTTGGGCAGTTTCCAAGGACTGACCTAGTTTTCTTGAGTTTGTTTGGTGAGAGTTTTTGTGGTAACACTGGGCAGCACTTGATCCGACAGCTAACTAACTGCTAAAAAAGAAAAAAAAAAGTGTGAGCCACTCCACAAGCACTGGATGAACACTCAATGCTACTAGAACTATCTAACCTCAGGGATTTTTGGTTTTGTTTTGTTAACGTAATTACTAATTGCCTTTTCTAACCTGAATCCATCATATTCTGGCTGATTCACAAAAAAGAGTGCAGCTTTTGATTATTATTCATTACCTTAAAAAAAAAACCAAGAAAACTCTAAAACTATTTGAAGATATACAATGCAAAACAAAACAAAACAAACAATGAAAAGAACAGCAGCAATGAAGGCCCACGATTTTGGCTTTTATTTCCTATTCTACCAGGGGAATAAACATTTTATTCACCCTGGGATTTAGTGTAAAGTGAGCTAGTTAACATTTAACACAAGCCAGATGCTGTGGACCTTGTGCTAATTCCAATTCTTCTGCTGCAGGTGAACAACAGTCTCCTCAGCTTATTCAGAAAAGCTTTACAACTTTGTCCAACCACACATTTCTACTCATCTCTCACTCTCCAACTGTTCTCCCATGAATTTTGGATTCTCAACTTACCAGATCTTTTCACATCTCCAAGACCTTGTGGGTGTTATTCAGGTATTCAAGAATACTCTTTGCTCTATGTCCTGGAAGATTGTGTTCTACCTTCAATATTCTGCTAAAAAAGATTTGATTCCCTTTCCTAACGAATCCTATCTCCTCTCCCTCCCCGCATGATGCTTCTTCCTATGTTTCTTCCATTATGTTTACCAATCTGTACTTAACAAACTATGCAATAATTGTTTACTTATTTTTCAATACTAATGTGTTTTAAGCTAAAGTTCTGCACATAGCATGGTACTAAGCAAGAGAGGAATTTTAGATATTCCCTTTGTCCTCAGATTACTTAGAATTGTTAAATTAGGTTTATCCTAAAAGTTTCTTCATACATAGTGTATTTAACTTGATGTGTGGATGGACTGTAACCTACTCTTGTAACAAGTAGACAAGTCTCAGCCAATCACAGTGGCTGAATTTCAACCATAGCTAGCCAACTGTTCAAACCAGGTTCAAATAAGGCAAACATCCAGCTATAACCAGTCTAGCTCTTTCTGTACCTCACTTTTATTTTCTGTATGTCACTTTCCTTCTTCTGTCCTTAGATGCTATCAGACCATGTGACAGCCCAGGAGTCGTTCTGAATCTATTCTGGTTCTGGAGGCTACACAATCCACAAATCATTCTTTGCTGAATTAAACTGTTTAATTTCACTACAGTTTTTCTTTTCAACAGAATTTAATTTTCAAGTGTCACAAAACAAGGTATATTTATTTGCAAAACACTATGTGCAAATAAAAAGGTATTGGAGTCTTTAACATAATCCCTGTAAATTCTAAAGTGGCTATATGAATATGTGGCCTTATATAGACACAATTCGGCACTGAAAAATGCTCTAAATATGCTCTTGTAAATATTTAAGTGTTTTTCATTAGGAATTGTTTTATGTGAAGTTAATGGCATCACTAACAGCACTTGAAGTTATTTCTCCTTTGGAAAGAGAAAGGGGAAAATATTTTCAAGAATTCTATTTTGGGTATTTAGAAAAAGTCATGGTGATTTCATCACAGAAGTTGTTCATGCACTAGAATTCTCCCATGAGAACTTGTAACACACCATTAAAAAACAGAATTTGAAGAAATTCACAATATAAGGTTGTTATTACTAAAAATCACACAATAGAAATTTCTGTTATGGGTTGAGATAATTTTTACTGTGATAATTTGAAATAGAAGACAGCAAATAAAGACAGCGTTTGAAGAAAATGACATATTTAACTAGTGAGCTCCTTCAGTTTGCACTAAGGTATTGTGGGTAACTTCAATCAACATATCTAAACACACACTGAAAGAACTATTTTCACCAGGCCTACACTCTGGAAGGCAGTTCAAGCCTGAAAGCTTTTATATGAATATACTGAATCTCTTCAAAAGCTATTTGTGTAGGCTGTAGTTAAATATAATTTTATTTCATTTTCTAAACTCTCACAGTTTTGTACCTTTATCTTGAAAGTTAGAAAACAAAAGGTTTCTGCTTCCTAATTCCACATCCCTGTGGAAGAAGTTTCTTTCCTTCCTGGCTCTATTCTTCTTAACATCTGGCTAAGATTCTGTTTTTCCCTTCTTAGCAAACCATGGAGAAGAAATGGAGTTGTCTTGTTTTGCTACTTGGAGGAGTGACAGGGCTTTATTCTTAATAAATGTTGGAGGAGAAAGTGGAGAGATGGCCTGAGGTCAGAAGGCAAAGTTGTGGACAAAATAGTCACCACATTAATCCCTACTTTTCTTCAGAATGTTATATACAATAAGGATCAAAATAATAAAAGAATAGAAATTGTCCTTCAGGCTAGAGGATAGGCATAGGGTGGGAGACAAGAAGGGAAATAAGTAGGATAAATTGCTGGAAATAATCAGACTTTTCATGGAAGTTAGTACAAGGTGCAAATTCACATCAATATCCCTTTTAGTTGGGTGCCAGTGTCAGAATAGAGAGTATACAAAATGTTGTGGGGATACCATGAGAAGAACTCACTAGGAGAGATTAAGAAAGGCTTCAGTGAGAAAATGACATTTCAGTTTCATCTTGAAGATTTATGATACAGGCAGTTGGTGAGAATGTTTCAGGCACAAAAGACGCCAAAAATAAAATCAGAAAGACAGGAAACAATGCATTTAGAAGAAAGTTGGAGCTATTTTCCAGATTCCTGAAAAGCAGTAGCTGTTGACTTGGGCATTCTGAAAAGCCTGGACCTGGAATTCCCTCCAGAAATCTCTGGTACTCACAGTCTTTTCTCCTGCTGCCACTGCAAATTAGAGGAAGTGATGAGTTGCTAAGAGTCGTACTAGGGAGTCAGCAGACTGTGGCCCCTAAAGATTCACATCTTAATTTTGTTATAAAAAACCTTTGCTTATAAGACTGAAATCACTTTACCTTAAACCAGAGATTCTTTCTTCTTGCTCTTCTGCCTTTTTGTGGGAAATAAATCTACTGCATCTTTTAAATTGGATTCTCACCATTGTTTAGAAAACATTGCACTTTTTAAATTGACTCTTGTCAAGGGGATCATTATATGCCCTTACCAAAAATTGCCACTTTGGTATGCAAAGTATTTTGAACTGAAGGCAATTGAGAAGCAGCAAACATTGGAGGAAACCCTGTGTTCCCCCTTCCTGCCTAAAATCCCAGCATGTATTTCCTTTCTGTAAGGAAAGAAATAGCATTTCTATTTTAAAGGAAATTGTCATTTGTAAAGGTATACTCCTTTCTTGTAGGAAGAGGAGAATTACTGTAGACTACGTAACAAGGCTTACTAAATAATCCTTATTTATCATATGATATGGTTTGGCTCTGTGTCCCCACCCAAATCTCATGTCAAATTGTAATCTGCATTGTTGGAGTTGGAGGTGGGGTTTGGTGGAAGGTGATTGGATCATGGGGACAGTTTCTAATGGTTTAGCACCATCCGCCTAGAGATCTTGTTGTTTAACAGTGTGTAGCACCTCCCTGCTCTCTCTCTTCCTCCTGCTCTGGCCGTATCAAGATGTTCCTGCATCCTCTTTGCTTTCTGCCATGTTTGGAAGTTTCCCGAGGCCTCTCAGCCATACTTCCTGTACAACCTGCAGAACTGTGAGCCAATTAAACCTCTTTTCTTTATGAATTATCTAGTCTCAGGTATTTCTTTATAGTAGTGCAAGAAGAATATACCATACACATCCTGTCACCCTCTCACAATTTATCCATCCCTCCCGAAGAAGCCCAAAGCCCCCTTTGTCTTTTCTCTTTTCTACACTATACCGTACTTTGTTAAAACTGTATAAAAGTCTTCAGATCTAACCAGGTTTTTGGGATTTTGACTTCATATCGGTGAGATCCCCTAAGTGCATATAAAATAAATATCTTTTCTAGTTAATCTGTCTTTCAATAGTTTCATTTGCAGGCCTCAGACATTGAACCTAAGCCAATAGAAGAAAGATTTTTTTTCTTATTATTTTTCCCCCCTCTACACTTGCTTGCATTTATTGGAATGGTCATCCCAAGTCTTTTGCATATACCAGTCATATCTATCTCAACCACTATCTCCAAGTCCCCTTTTGCTGAAGGTAACTCTGACTTTGACTAGTATACTGAGATTGAAATTTTCATATATACTACTTTACCCAAACTCATTTCTTCCCTAATAAACAGAAATCAGGAGGCTCCCACAGTGAGAGTGGCCTGAGGGTGTGTGTGAGGGTGAAGATTGGGAAAATGAACTGTGGCAGGGTATGCAGCAGTTCAGCAGAGTAGGTAACAGAAGTGAGTAAATGTCCCCAAGCTAGAGGATTGTCCATATCGCAACAGTATTTGGCTATAGATGTGACTCCTGGTGGAGCAAGGGCAGAGAGGAACCTATACATGAGGAAGTATAGGAAAAGGAGGACTGGAGACATTTTAACACAAGACTTTGGAAGGGACAAGCCTGGACCCATTAAAGGGCCAAGGTCAATTTAATAGTCTGAGCTTTATGTTTTTCCCTCTATGCCTTAATTAACTTCCCTTTGCTTCCACATAATTTTCCCCATTCCTGAGTTGTATCTTTGCTCCAGCACTTCTAGGTGATAACTGACAATTTCTACTTTTTCAGTTAGATTTGCTTTTTGACTTTCTGATTTACACTTCTAGGAAAGACACACATTCATTTCCTAATGGATTACTCCTACTTGTTTCTCCTATTTGGAGAGTTAGTATTAGCAAAATGGTTAAGAAGTAAGTTTTCCTAGCCAGGCTTTTATCATTGGATCAAATCCTGATCCTGCCACTTTTGAACTGTGTAAACTCGGTCAAGTTTCATAAACATCCTAAACCATTGTTTTCTTACCTGTAAAATTGGAAAAATCAAATACCTACTTGAATGAACTATTGTTAGCATTAAACAATACCTGTTAAGCACTTGTCATACTACCTGGCACATGGATATATTATCATTAGCAGCAGTAACAGCAGCACCATAGTTAGCACTCCTGTCTTTTAAGCCCTCACTTATTTGCTAATTAGTTGGTGTCTGAAACTCAGACTCTAGCTACTCCTACCTCCCAAAAATGCTTATGAGTATTGTGAATAGTCATTTAATCCCCTTCAGCCAAAAAGTTTTGCTTAGAGACACATACTCAGAAAAAAAATTAGGTAGTTTCATGTTGTTTTCAAATTGTTACCAAAAGGCTTTGAAGTTCAGTCTAGGTCCTGCTGCTCACAACCCAGAAAGCCAATCACTGAGACAACAAGTATTGTCAGGGAAGAAGGCTTTAATCTGGTGCTGCAGTAGAGGAGGTGGGAGATCAGTCTTGATTCCATCTCCCTGATCAACTAAAGTTAGAAGTTTATATAGTAAGGGAGAAATCTAACCATGTGTGGGGAAACAGGAATTAGGGGGAGGGGTAAGGAAGAAGAGTTGGTGCAGGAAGCAGGGGATTGGTTAGGCAATCATGATGATTGAGAGGTCTGGCATCTCATTGTCCAGATGCAGTGACCTGGTAAACTTCAGTACTTTGATCCCATCTGGGAGTCCTGATAGTCAGTTTTATGAGAAAGAAACTCAGATAAGACAAATGTAAGTGTCTCAAGTTTCAAGACTCAGATGGTTAATTTATATGTTGATTCAAAAGAAGCCATAAGCATCAGTTCTACGGGACAATTACACAAGTTTCAAAATAAAGTCTATTCTCATGGCTTGATATTTAGGAAGTTCTTCAACATGACACATAATTGCATGTTGCTTGCTCTTTTGTAAACCTTGCTAACCACCCTAATTAAATTCTGCATAGTTCTTCATAAGTGTCTGAAAATGTTTTGTTTAACATATTGGCTGACGTCATTTCACTACCACCAACTACCTTCATTAATATGTGTTCATTCATTTTTACATATTATGCATTGAATTTCTATTTATCCTTCAGCTCTCACTTGAAGCCTCTCCTAATAATTATGGCAGGAAATGCCTTCTTCTCTTTGAACACCTATAGGGTTATAATTGGAACTGGGCTGGAAGTGAGGGAAGCCAAATAGGAAGCAAAACACAATCAAACTCACAGTTATTGTTATTTAAAAGCCCCATATTAAAAAAGGATAACCTAGGATAATGGCATTCAGAAGGATGAAGCCTCAGTAGAAAATAGAAGGGCTCAAGCATAGGTAAAAGATTTCAGTCATTTGGAATGATGGGGAGTGGAAATTGGGGAATTGCAGAACCCCATCCCTCTGCCACTGGAATATAAACCAGCACAGGGACACACGCATGATGGAGGCCATCCAAGTGAAGAAACATAATACTAGAAGAAGGTACAAGGCAAAGTTTGTAATAACATATATGAGGTCTGCCTGTAACAGTCCCAAATTATACTCATTTTCCTGGTGTAATTTTTAATAACATTACTTTTACTTGAAAATGTATCTTGGGCTGAGCAACAACATACGTGACCCCCATATTCACATTAGTCATAAGTTAAGAAAGCAAGAGATGAGTTACTGGCCTTGGCACAATTTCAGAGCAAGACTCCGTGATATTTGGCTCCCCGTTTTGTTTATCTTTCAGGTGGTCTTTTTCCTTTTTTCACCCGGCTGAAATTCTATCTTTAAAGGCACATTTTAAATCCCTTTTCTGGCCAACTGAAATGGACTGTCCCATATCTGTACCTTGAAAACACAGTATGCACCATTTATATAATACTTATTACATTAATCTGTATTGTTGTTCTCTTTTCATGGAGATACGATAGGTAATCTGAAAGTCAATGTTCTGTGATAAATTCATATCAGATTCATGCAGGAAATAAGTGTGCCATGTTTCCAGAATGAACCTCCCACTCATACTATTAAGTACAAAACTGTTAAGGATTCCATAGTCTAAATCATTTTCTTTGATTCAAGAGGAGTTTTTTTTTCTTAATCAAGAAAAAAATATTAAAAACCACTAAGTGTCAGAGTTTACTCAAGTTGGTAGTGTTGTCTCATGGGTAAAAATTAGAAAAAAAATAAATCACTGGTGTCATGGAACTTGTAACCTAATGGAGGAGGATAGACAACACAAAGAAACAGAAAGATGGATAATCTTTCAAACTCACAATCTCAACAAATTGTCCTACTTAAAACTGCAATTTCTTATCAGCAGTAAGCATTTGTCACCAGCTGACATATTATATCTTTTATTTGTTGATTTGATTAATACCTTTTTCCTGCAGCTAGAATCTGTTTTATTTATTTGTAAACCCAAGGAGTATAGAATAGTGTATATTAGAGAATGGGACTTCTATAAATAGCTGTTGAATGAATCAGCAAATTATATATGTTAGAAGGTGATAAGTGATAGCAAACTTAGGAGAAAACAGTTGCTATCAATGATACAGAGGTGGTAGTGGCAGGTTGTGATTTACAATTGGGTTATCAGTTAAGCCTCATTTGGAAAGTAACAGTTGCACAAAGACTTGAAAGAAAGAGTGAGCCATGCCTGGGAAAGGCAGAGCTGGCCTGACATCCATGGAACAGCAGTGGTCCTGTGGGCCTGAAGCCCAGGGTATAAGTGAGAGTAGTGAGAATGAGCAAAGAAGGGGAAAGGGCTGGGAATGCAGCAGAAAGTATAGTCCCTTATAAGGACATGGGCTTTTACTCTGATTAAGAAGAAATCTTATGATCTCAGTAGTTCAAAATTAAGGATGATTTTGTATCCAAAGAAACATTTGGTAATGTCTGGAGACATCTTTGGTTGTCACAACTATGAGGAGGAGATGCTACTGGCACCTAGGGGTAGAGGTCAGGGATGCTGCTGAATACACATTTTATAATATACAGGACATGCCCACAACAAAGTATCATCTGGCCCAAGGTGTCAATATTGCAATATTGCTGGAATTTAGAAACCCTGATTTAACTTTTCAAGGGATGATTCTGGCTGCTGTACTGAGAATACACACAGAGAGGGTAAGGGAAAACACAGGGAGGCCCATCAGGAGCAACTGAAGTAATCTAGTGAGGAATGATTCTAGCTCAGATTACGGTGGTAGGAGTGGAGCTACTGAGTAGTGCTTGGATTATAGGCATGGCACAAAGGTGGAGTCAATAAAATAACACCGATGTCCTGCATTTGGGGTGTGAGAGGAAAGGAAAGTCAAGAACAACCCTAAGATTTTTTATTTAATTTCTAGAAGTAAAGAATTGTCATCAATGGGCATGGGGCTGACTGGGGATGCAGTAGGATTTGGGGGATGTGGTAGAAATCAGATATTAAGTTGGTAACATGATTTTGCCTGTGTCCCCACCCAAATCTCATGTTGACTTGTAATCCCGTGTAGGAGGAGGGGCCTGGTGGGAGATTGGATCATGGGGGTGGTATCTCATGGTTTGGCACCATCCCCCTAGTGCTGCTTGCTTAAAGGTGTGTAGTACCTCCCCCTCCTTCCTTCTGGTCCCACCATGTAGATGTGTTTGCTTCCCCTTTGCCTTCTACCATGATTGTAAGTTTCCTAAGGCCTCCCCAGCCTTGCTTCCTGTACAGCCTGCAGAACTGTGAGTCAGTTAAACCTCTTATAAATTACCCGGTCTCAGGTCATTCTTTATGGCAGTGTGAGAACGGACTAATACAGTTTGGGATATGTTAAATATGAGAAGCCTCTTAGACATCATTGCGGTTCAGAACATGATGCCCCAAAGTATGGTCCCCTGGCAGGCTGAGCACTTTTGAGCTGAAAAAGGCAGGAGGGCCTCGGAAAAGCAACAGGGCCTATCTCTGACTTTCTCCTTTCTTCTGTTTCCAACCCTTATTTTTTTCCTAAAACAAGCTATAAAACCTAGAAAGTTCACTCTTTGACCTACCTCCCATGAAAGTAGATCATAAGACCCTCATGTGACAAGTAGTCCTTCCTTCTACCCAGAGGAAAGAAATGCTACACAGAGAGGCCAAAAAGAATCTGAACAGGCCTTGCCAAATTTCCCCCAGCTTGTCACCATTAGGTCATACTCCATTTTTGTCCAGTCATATTTCTCCACACCTCTCCACTTCTTCCCTCAGACTCAGCATAAAAATACACACTGTTCCTTAGGTCTTTGAACCTTAATTTCTGAAGCCTCTCATGTCACATAAAACTTTGTTAAATAAATTTGTGATGCTTTGCTCTTGTTAATCTGTCTTTTCTTATAGGAGTGTCAGTCATGGACCTTGTGGTGGGTGAGGAAAAGACGCTACTTTTTCTCCCCTGCAACAGCTAGGTGGAGCTATCAGATGTGTAGTTGTTTAGGTGGATGTGGAGTTAGGAAGAAATGTCTAGGCTTGCGTTATATATTTGGGAATTATCAGTGTGTGGGTCTTATTTAAATGTGATATCAAGCGTGTGAATGCAGAAAGTAAAGATGAGAATCAAGAATGGAACCCTAGGGGACGCTAATGTGAAAAGATTACAGAAAATTAGGGAAGGGATTATAAGAAAGTCTGAAACAATGTCATTTCCTCCACACATTCATAGAGCTCCAGGCCCACAAATACTTGGGTTTTTATTTTTTAATTTCCCTGCTATATCTAGGTACTTGGGGCTGTCACCAGTGCCCCTAGAATCCATCCATCTTAAGAAGAAAAAGGTCTTTCATCTCAGCTTTCTAGCAGTTCTTTGTTTTTTAGTCTGCCGCCTCTCTGCTTTCCAACACCTGGTCTTTGATGTTATTGCCTCCAGTGTCCGCATTCTTCCCCCTTTCTCCTCTATAGCAGCTACTGCTGATCTCATGTTCGCTGGCATTCTTTCCATCCAACTGATTTCATCTCTAATCAAACAACTAGAGTTCCTTGCTGATTTGCTTTCATATATGTGTGTGTGTGTGTGTGCATGTGCACGTGCACACATGTGTTTAGTATAAGTACCTTAGGAGATTTCAGTATGTGTAGTTACAATCCCTACTCTCAGTTCCTGCATGATGCTAAGTTGTATCTTGTCCCTGGGCTTTTTAACCTGCTGTTTCCAATTCCTAGAACACTCTTTTCTTTTTCCTTAGACTAGGGAGCTCTGCTTCATTTCTGAAATCTCCATTAAGAGGCCAGAGAACTTTCCCCAAGCTTCCAAGTTTGGTTTTGATGACCTTGTGTTTATTTTTACATTAAACACACACCATAGTCATCACACCATATTGCTTTTTTTTTTTTTTTTTACTTGTTGGCAACCTTGATTTAAACACTACCTCCTTGAAGGTAATGTCTCTGTCCTGTTCACCATCATATCTCTACTATATAACACAGGGTTATAATATATAACCTTATATATTATAAAATTTTATAATTTAAATTATATAATTAAACTCTAATTAGTAAATCAATTTATATGTTTTGTACTTTTAATCAGGTTGAGGATAATTCAGGATGAAATCACATGACTTTATTTGCCTCAGCACCCAGTGCATTGCGTGGTATAGAATTGAAAGTATGTAAATAATTGTCAATTGATGTAACTGAATTCATACTATGAATTTCTCTATTCATTTGAATTTCTTCACCTACAATATTCTTGCCGAAAGGAAGTCATGTCCTACCCTGAATATTCCCTTGGGTCATCAGTTCTGAATGATACAAAATTTAAATCAAATCAAATATTTTTCTTCTTTTGCTGTCAGTAGAGAGACTAAAATGGGAAAGGTGAGAGGAACAGAGAGAAATGATCAGATTAGCAGCTTTGAAACTGTACAGAGTTGTGGTATTTTGGCAGCCAAATATGAATATTAGAGTGTCTGCTAATTCAGGTGCAATTAAATGAATCTCTGGGCTGTTCTAACTCCATCCCTCCATTCTACTTCTGCTTCAAATTACAGTAAATAAATAACAAATGTTATTATGCTTTTGAAGAAATGCGTTAATATGCTAGCCAGTTTTCTGCTGGTCCTCCTAACTGTTCATGCCAAAGTCTTTATCCAAAATTCATCTGTAGCTGTCCACACATACAGAGCATGTACACACACACACACACACGCACGCACAGACATCAGCACCTGCATTGTTTTCACCGTTGTGATTACCCTAACATTTATTTTGTAAGCTTTGGAAAGGGTCGATGAAGTTGAAGTTATCACGCTACCTGACTTCAAAATATGTTACAAAGATATAGTAACTGAAACTTCAAACTTCTTCAAACTATATTCAAACTTTCTTCTTTTTTTAGTATTTCAAAGAGATAAATATCTGCACCTTATATTTATTGCGGTGCTATTCACAATAGCAAAGACATGGAATCAACCTAATTGTCCATAAAAGGATGAATGGATAAAGAAAATGTGATATATATATATAGAGAAATACTATTTAGCCATAAAAAAGAATCAAATCCTATTATTTGCAACAACATAGATAAAATTGGAGTTCGTTATGTGAAGTGAAATAAGCCAGATACAGAAAGACAAACAATATGCATATTCTCACTGATATATGAAAGTTAAAAGAGTTAATCTCATGGAGTCAGAGATGAATGATGCTTATCAGAGGCTAGAAAGGGTGTTTGCCATGGTGGGGTGATGAATAGAGGTTGGTTAATGGGTACAAACATACAGTTAGATAGAAGGAATAAGCCTAATGTTTGACAGCAGAGTAGAGTGACTGTCATTAACAACAATATATTGTATATTTCAAAATAGCTTAAAGAGAGGACTTGAAATGTTCCAAATACAGAAATGATAAATATGTGAGGTGATGGATATCCTAACTTGATCATCACATATTCTATATGTGTAACAAAATATGACATCTACCCTGTAAATATAAACAATATGTATCAATAAAAAAAATTTTTTTTGAGACAGAGTCTCACTCTGGCGCCCAGGCTGGAGTGCAACGGCATGATCTCGGCTCTGCAATCTCTGCCTCCCTGGTTCAAGCAATTCCCCCGCCTCAGCCTCCCAAGTAGCTGGGACTACAGGCTTATGCCTCCACACCTGGTGAATTTTTGTATTATTATTATTATTTTTAGTAGAGATGGAGTTTTGCCATGTTGGGCAGGCTGGTCTCGAAATCCTAACCTCAGATGATCCACCCGCTTCGGCCTCCCGAAGTGCCAGGATTACAGGCCTGAGCCCCCGCACCTGGCCAAAAATATATTTTTTTAATTCCTAGAATGATTAAAACTGTCCTAGGAATAATACATATGGACCTATCAACAATGCACAGGTAGGTGGTGGCAAACTCTAGGCAGCACTCATAGAAACTAGGATTTCACTGGACTAGTACCCTCTCTCACCTTCACCACCACTGCAGACATCACCACATTAACCACGTGACTCACACTGGTCATTCCATGAAGCTGCTAATAACATGGCACATTTTATGTGATGTTTACTTTTTGAACTCCACTTGTAGTTGGTCTTGCTGTCATATACTAACACCTACCTCCAGGGATACTGTGAGGATTGAATAAAATAATCCACATAAAGCACTTAACATTGTAACTGGCACTCAGCAAATAAAAGTAAGTGGTGACTAGTTATTGTTAATTTAAACACAGATCTAGAAGTAAAAGGAAGCCTTATGTTTCAGTGACATTTTGTTGCCTTTTCCCATAAAACAATACGGTATTTTTTATTCATACTGACACAGTAAAATAAAATAATCATATGTATAGATATGTATATATAGATATGATCTATATACCTATCATTATAGAATTATTTCAAAAGATAAGTGTTTCAGGCTCTAGAAATGTCAAGAAACAGTACAATTCAGTTAGAAGTGCCTGTACCTCTCTGGGTGCAAACATATTCAGAAGCATTGGGCACAGCCATAAGACTGGAAGAAGACTCTCCAATGGGAACAGTTTTTTCCTGAATTGAACTGAGAAGACCGATTTGAAAAATGAGGCTCTTCAGAGAAAGCAAAAGCCATTATCCTGGTTAAATACTTACATTTACTTGTGAGTGAAGGTTGACTATTGTGCAACATCAACATATTTTAAATTGCTATCCAGACATCTAAGTTCTGTGTCCTCCCACTGCAAAAATAAATAACTGAAAGACATGTTTGATCCCTTGTCTCTGAACTTTTATATTGTTCTCAGGTTGAATAGAAAGACTGGAATCATAATCATAGATACTGTACAATTTCTTAGAATAATAAAAGAGCAGCAATATGCTAGTGAGTCTGTGTAGAACTCATTCTACACATTCTACTCATTCTGAGTAGAATGGCATATGCAATGGTAGAGATCAAATACAAATATTTAAATAAGTTATAAGCCAACCACTCTTGGAATTTTGCTTGTAAATAATCATTTCTTACCAGTTCACTTTCCTCCTCCTCCTCCTCCTTGTTCCCCTCCATCCCCTCCTCTCCCTCCTTCCCCTCCTCCTATTCCTCCTCTCCCTGTTCATCTTCTTCCTTCTTCTTTCTGACAACATACTAGAAATCATTTGAAATATCTGCAGAAATTGAGTGTGTTGAGGCAGAAATAATATGATAAAAGTTTATTAGAAGCCAAGTAGGAGGATTGACCAGAGAACAAACAGCAAGAAAGTTTGGGAGTGTGCTGGAGTCTGGTACAAGTTGAAAGACTTTTATAGAAAAGTTTAGGAGAAAGGGTCGGAGGGTGGGTGGTTGTCACGCCAGAGTTGTCGTTTTTATTTGGAAGGTACAATATAGAAGTTGCAATCATTGGCAACATACAGGCTAAAATGCCTGCAATGCAAAACCATCATAAACATCATGATTCAGAAATAAATCAGTATCTTTTTCAGTGTCATTAGGTTATGAATTAATAAGTGCATAAATAATTTCAGCAACTCATGATTCTTTTTTTTTTTTTTTTTTGAGACGAAGTTTCACTGTTGTTGCCCTGGTTGGAGTGCAATGGTGTGATCTGAGCTCACTGCAACCTTTGCATCCTGGGTTCAAACAATTCTCCTGCTTCAGCCTCCCGAGTAGCTAGGATTATAGGCATGTACCGCCATGCTCTGTTAATGTTGTGTTTTTAGGAGAGATGGGGTTTCTCCATGTTGGTCAGGCTGGTCTCACACCCCTGACCTCAGGTGATCCGCCCACCTTGGCCTCAAAAAGTGTTGGGATTACAGGCGTGAGCCACTGCGCCCGGCCTATGATTCTTTACGCAAAAGAGGATGCCACCATGAATCACAAGGCCTCCCCAAGACAGGTTAATTTAGAAGCCTTTTTACATTTAAAGTAAACTGCCAAATGTGACCTGTATGTTAACAGAAAGCATATTAAAACTGAGTTTTCAATAATCATTCATTAAAGAACACAGGCCAGGTCATCAAGTCAGAAGCAAATGCTTATGGCATATCTTTTACTTTTTAAACTCTGCTAATTCAGGTGCAATTAAATGAACCTCTGGGCTGTTCTAACTCCATCCCTCCATTCTACTTCTGCTTCAAATTACAGTAAATAAATAACAAATGTTATTATGCTTTTGAAGAAATGCGTTAATATGCTAGCCAGTTTTCTGCTGGTCCTCCTAACTGTTCATGCCAAAGTCTTTATCCAAAATTCATCTGTAGCTGTCCACACATACAGAGCATGTACACACACACACACACACGCACGCACAGACATCAGCACCTGCATTGTTTTCACCGTTGTGATTACCCTAACATTTAATTTGTAAGCTTTGGAAAGGGTCGATGAAGAAGTTTTGCATATCAATAAAACTACAAAAATTATATATAAGTCATAAAGTACCAATGAACTGCTTCCATAACTGTTTACTTACAAGTTTCCTTTCATTGTCCAGAAAGAAATACAGATAAAGCAAGGTATGCTCTAATTAAAACTGAAATGCCAATTAATATAGATGAAGTAATACAATTTGTTTGGAGTGTTACAATTTATTGCGACTGACATGATACTTTGGAATTTCCTAATATTAGTAAAGAATGGATGAAAGAAGGAATATTTGTCAGAAAGAGTGTGGGCTTTGGGTCCATAGCTGTGTGGACTTGGGTAAGTTATTTACTTTGGGCCTTTGCTTTTAACTATAATACAAGAATAATGGTAACTACATGGTAGGACTGTTGGAGGGATTTGAGGTGATGCCAATAGTGTTACCTATGCGAAAGGAAACTCTAGCTCTACTAATTATGAGAAGAGTGAGAAAGTGTGTGGAGAGCCTACCAGGCTGCCTGACACAGAGCAGGTCTCCTATGAGCATTAGCACTTCCAGCCCTCACACTCTGGCAGACAAATTCACACACACACAATTTCAAAGAACTGTCTTCTCATAGCAAAAATGCAAAGGAGTTTTAATTATATTCACTGGATAAAAAAGTTAATCTTATTCATTTATGAAAAATATTAAAATTGTTTTTTAAATACACATGATTTGTAAGGATGTTTCTGTAAATAATATAATCTGAACCATTTGCATTTAAAATGGACATGTACCGTCAGAATCTTGTTTCTTTTTTAGCAGGAAATGGTTTAATGACCCAATAAAAATTTCTTTTTTTTTTTCCAAATAACTTTTCCAAATAACACCTTCAGGGTTAGAATAAAAATAGATTCTAAAATAGCTCCAAAGTTGTAATTTAGTATGATTAGTAGCTCAGCTTTTGTAGATAGATGAGAGACATTAATTGTTTTGGCTTTTGTAAAGTTTTTAGAAGTTCCTTGTTGAAGAAAAATCTTACTGAGCAGACTTACAAGTACTTTTATTTGGAATCAATTACATATTATTCTTTGAAAATTTTAGGAAATTCTTAAAAATATTTTTTACTTTGTTACAATTGAAAGCTTTAAATTTATCAAGAAACAAACTGTTTGCTATATAAGTATGTGAAGTTACTCTACCAAAAGGAGAATTATGGAAGGAAAATTATAGTATTTGTTCAAAATCCTTCTTCTTGTTCAGCATAGTCCCATCCCAGTGGAACAATTATTCTTGCTGCCCCATTGATATTAGGGTTGGCCATGTAACTTGCTTTGGTCTGACCTGTAAGTGGATGTGGCTTGTTTCTCTCCTGAGCAGCAGCCTCAAGATGCATTATCTGCTTCTGTTGTTCTCTTTTCCTCTGCTACAAGATGGGCAGAGGAGCTCCTCCTTCAGCCTTGTTCCCTGATTAAAGAGAACATCAAAGCTAGTTGCAGCTAATCCACAGCAAATTTGCAACATGCACACTAATCATTAGTGAACAGCTTGTTGGGTTTTTATTAAAGGAATACACAGATATAAGGACCACAAGGAGCAGGAAAGAGTATTAGTAACTCTGCTGAAACCCTCCTCACGGCTCCTTCCAGTCACTACTTGTCTCCAAAGAAAACACTTCTCCGAATTCTCTTTTCACTGATGAAATTTTGCTGTATGTAATTGTTTGGGTCTGACTTTCTTCATTCAGTAATATTGAGCTTGGTATTTGCCCATGTTGTCATTGGGTAGCAGTTAATTCACTATCATTCCTGTGTAATTCTCCATTGTATGAATATAGCACCATTTTATACCCATTCTACTTTTGTTGAAATTGGAGTTGCAGCAATTTGGAGCTAATACAATAGTGCCACTGTAACATCATTGTATGTATCCTTGGTTACACATATGTA
Organism: Homo sapiens; assembly: GCF_000001405.40. Classification (NCBI taxonomy): domain Eukaryota; kingdom Metazoa; phylum Chordata; class Mammalia; order Primates; family Hominidae; genus Homo; species Homo sapiens. The sequence continues at coordinate 116,945,156 of NC_000002.12, read as the reverse complement.
CACATTTCAACTAGGTGCATCCTTAAGAATGGCCATGCTGAGTCCTATGTTGTACACGTGTTCTGCATTAATTGATACTGTCATCAGGTTCCAAAGTAACTAACTAATGTATACCTCATACAGCAAAGGATGAGAGCTTTTTCTGCTTCAAATTCTTGCCAATACTTATCTATTGTGATATGGTTTGGATATGTGTCATCACCGAAATCTCACGTTGAATTGTAATCTCCAGTGCTGGAGGTGGGGTCTGATGGGAGGTGTTTGGATTAAGGGGGCAGATCCCTCGTAGCTTGGTGCTGACTTCTTGATGGTGAGTGAGTTCTCATGCGATCTGGTCATTTAAAAGTGTGTGGCACCTCCCACCTCCTCTTTTTCTCTTGTTCCATGTGACATGCCTGCTCCTCTTCATCTTCTGCCATGATCGTAAGCTTCCCAAGGGCTCCCCAGAGGCTGAGCAATGTGAGTCCCATGCTTTTACAGCCTGCAGACCCATGAGCCAATTAAACCTCTTCTTTACCTTTATAAAAAACTCAGGTATTTTTAATAGCAATGCAAGAATGACCTAACACATATTGTTTGTCACTTTACCATTGGAAGGATTATGTGGTGATATCTTTTTGTGGCTCTTACTTGTTAGTCCTGGTGACTAATGAGTTTGCTCACATTTTAATATGCTGATTAGCCATTCGGTAACCTCCTTTGTGAAGTGTCTGTTCCAGTCTTTTGTTCGTATTTCATTTGGATGTTCCATATTGCCTTTTCATATTGATCTGTAAGAGCTCATTATTTATTATGGAGCGAAGGTCTTTGTCAAGAATATGTGGTCCCCATGTCATCCTCTGCGCTATAGCTTGCCTTGCCTTTCCATTCTCTTGATACTATTTTCTGACTAAGAAAGGTTCTTAATGGTAAATAATCTAATTTAACATTATTTTCTTCATTATTATTGCTTATTGTGGATCTGCTCCATGATCATGAAAACATCATCTTATACTATCTTCTAGAACTTCTATTATATTATCATTGACATTTAAACTTGCACGTCATTTATAATTGATTTTGTTAATGGCATGAACTGAGGTATCACTTTTCTCTTTTACTGAAAAATCACATTTTTTCTCATTTATTTAGGGACAATGAAGAAAATGGAATTAATTTTCAAGTTTAAACTCACTTTCTAGTAATACAATTTAGCTACAAGAGTTTTTATATGTTTTATTGTTGTATGTGTTGTATTCTTTTTTATTCATTACTGGTATGATTTTATAATATTTTGTTTAGTGCTTTTATTTGTATGTTCACTAGATACATTGTTTTGAAAATTTTTCCTTGTAATAACCTGGTGAGGTCCTGATATTAAGATTATTTGGACTTAGAAAATGAGTTGAAAAATGTTTCCTCTTTTTTTCTTCGCTAGAGAAGTGAGTTTGGATTGATGCTGTTTCTTCAAATGCCTGGAAGGAAAGACTGACTCTGACAGTTTGGATCACATTTCTGTGCTTTTCCTCTGGGATACTGGTCTCTCAAGCTCCAGCTCTCTTGGTAGCTCTATGATGCTTTCCAACAGATGTGCTTTGCATGTTATCTAGCATTTATCCTTTTTGTTGGTAGAAGACTGGTTTGCTATAAGCTAATCTGTTAAAACAAAAAGTAGCTCTATGCTACTTATTTACAAATTTCCATTAACATACAATCTCTTCAAAAGATTAAAAATACTTTCACCTAGAGATAACTCACAAAAATCCAATTTTTTCAGATCATGTGCGTGACCAGATCTACATGCCTAATCTCATTCCCATATCTCAGCTATACAATAAAAGTGTTAAGATAAAAGAGGAGAGATTGGTTGTGTGCAAAATGTAACACTGGAATCTAATAGTGGGATCTAACAGGTATTAGTAGCTAAACGGCATTGAAAAGAAATGTCTTGCAGTAAGTTGAGGGTGTTGACAGCAGTTGCATAGTACCCAATGCCCTCCACCAAATAAACAAAACCAAAAAACTTTCATCAACTTTGACCAATGCCTTCAATAGGCAAAGAAACCAGCTCATCACATTGAACTGATAGTTCAAGGTTGCAATTTGGTGCACTGGAAACAGCCTCAAACAAGATAATATCTCCTTTGCTTATAGAGCCAGGACATTCCTAGATTTAAATCCCACATCTGCTTTTTAAAATCTGCATGACTTTTGAAATGCCACTTGGCTTCTATGCACATCTCATTATGTATAAATAGGCTAGTCTCCTACAATCCATTCCCATATAATTGCTGAAATGATTTTAATATATCCTAGTCAAATCTCACCACTCTCTATTTGTGAAAACTTCCAATGGATTTCCATCATCTTTAGATTAGAATACAATTTATTTTGCCAATGAATGTCCTCCTTAAGCCAATGAAATTTATCCTTCATCCCAGGGCTCTTCTTCAGTAGTCTTCTATGATTTCCACAGCCAGCATCTTTTCCTGTGCTGATCCTTCTACTGGGATCATTATTCCCCCAGAATGTCACATGGGGGCTGCCAGCTTCTCATTCCTCAAATATACACTAAAGCAACCTCTCCTCAGAATTGCCTGCCCCAACCATGGGATAAAAAGAAACTCCTCTTACAACTCCACTCTCACATGATACTCTACTGTATTTTTTTATAAAACTTCTTGCTCTTGAGAATCACCTTGTTTGTTTATTTATTTTTTTCTTCCTCCCTGCCTCCCTGAATATAAGCTACCATGAGACAGAGAACTTTTCTGTCTCTTTTCTCAATTAAATATCCAGTACCTAGAATAGTGTTTGTTATAGCACCAAGAAGACAGTTGATGAATGAATGAATGAATGAATGAATGAGTGGATGAAATATTGTAAAGATGAACTCAAATTAGGCATGAAATCTGGTTAAATAGTAGGTGCTCAGTTAATAATAATTTCCTTCTCCTTTCTTTCCTGTCTTACATCCTCTTCCTAAAAAGACTCCAAATCTGTATCTGCTGCCCCTATGTACAGAATACTAGCCACACCTCACACTTTCCTCTTTAGTTTTACATAGGGGTCACGACCTTTAGTCATCAACTTGTCAATTCAAAGATGGGTCTACCTCCCATGATTTATTTTCAGTTCACTGTGAAAATAAATAGGACTGGGGAAAGGGAGCTCACTCGGCGATGGAGGGCACTCTCACATAGCCTGTGAGTTACTTTTCCAGGGAGCTGGCATCAATCAAGGCAGCCACCAGCTGGTCTGTTGCCATTATTGTGTGATGGGTGCTGCCTTGTAGGAAACAGAAGGCGCAATGAGTCTGGTTATTTATTCATAGAGAAAGATGGATGATCGTCTTGTAAATTTGGGATATTCATTTCACAGTTGATTGTGAAAATAAATAGTTTGGCATTTTTGTTATTTCAAACATATCTTACCTGGATGCAACTAATGTTTTAATCTAAGTTCCAATAGCTTGATCAGACTCACAGCTGGAGATCCCTAGTGGAAATACTGAATTTTGGCAGATTTCCAAGCATGCTGGGAAGGGGAGCTCACTCAGCAATGGAGGGCACTCACACATAGCCTGCGAGTTACTTTTCCAGGGAGCTGGCATCAACCAAAGCAGCCTCCAGCTGGTCTGTTGCCATTATTGTGTGGTGGGTGCTGCCTTGTAGGAAATAGAAGGTGCAATGAGTCTGGTTATTTATTTATAGAGGAAGATGCATGATCCTCTTGGAAATTTGGGACATTCATGCATGTTAAGACTAACACAAAAATAATGAGACTGATTGTATGTATGTGTGTGCACATGTATGTTTTTGGGCTGGTGGGGAGTCACCAATGATACTTAAGTTAAACTGGAGATGATGTCAAAAGTGGGTTGTTGAAAACAAAACAGTAAGAGGTGGCAGTGCCTCAGAAACAAGTTTGTGACCTATATGGGCTTTTGGACAGACAGACTTGAGATCAACTACTTATTAGTAATGCAACTTTGGACATATTATCATGAAATAAAAAATAACATATGCAAAGCACTCAGTACTATTTCAGGCATATAGTGGACCCTTATTAGTGCAAGCTATTGTTATTAGAACCAGTTCTACCTTCGTTATAATTGTGCATAGGGAATTTCACAAATGGAGACATTTATGACAACAAATATCTTTTGATTTTCCCTTCTAAAATTATTGGGCATCCCATCTGCTTACTGCTAATAAGCCTACTTGCATTATCAGAGACCAGAACAGGTTTGACAACACTCAAAAGTTGAATGTCGATTTTCTGTGATAAGCTATTGGTTTCCTGTGCTATCTACAGGCAACTGATCCACTCTTAACTCATATATCTAAGGGCACTAGGAGAATTAAATGGAGCTCAAATATAGATCAGAATCCTACTAGGCATTATTGATGCTTTGTCTTCGTTGACATCCTCATTCATCCACATGTTAAAATCTTTATGTAGGAGAAACAGATAATTTCATTGTAACAAAAACACCTGATGATAATGTGTTATGGTTTTGAATAAATTAAGTTCTGTATGCCACAAAATCATGCAGAATCTGTATGTGTGTTTTATAGCCACGTCTGTATCTACTAGGTATTTATGTACATATATGCATATGCTTATGTATATATTTTATTTTATATGTCTGTGCGTTTGTATGTGCCTGTACAGGTCGGTTTCAATGTATGCACATATAGGTGTGTCTCAGTGTGTGTGTGCATTCAAATAAATACGTTTATATATATCTTGAAAATATCTCTAAAATGCAGTGAATATTACTGTCTTTCTGAGAGTCTTTATGATGTACAAAAAAGAGCACAAAACTTGAGTAGCAAGAATTGAAATTTGGGTTATTCAACCTCTGTCTGTGATCCTTAGGTTTATCATGTTATGCTTAACCACCTTTTTGGCCCTCATATGTAAATCTGAATCATAAGATTAGTTTGCAACTGAAATAAAGATGACCTATTAGAACACTATGCCTGGCACATAGTAGATACTAAAAAATGATATGTCTTTTCTTCCCTTCCTCAATTTTCTTCCTTTCTTTAGAAAACAGTTACTTCAATGCCACATGGTTTTATTGACATCTAAAATGTATATACAATTGATTTTTAGTTTGGGCAGTGGAGGGCCCTCTTAAATACATCCTGGCAGATAAAATGCCATGATTTCTCTATTACTGCATGATCATGACTGGGAGAATGAAGAGGATGTGATAGTTATCTCCAGAGGACAAGATAGTTTTCACAGAGCTATCTTGAAAGACTAATGGACATCTGGAATACTGAGATGAGAATTAAAGTAGAATGAAAGATGCCTTGCAATTTATTATAGAATTCAACAATGTGTTCATCCAGGTTGCCAAAAAAGCAGATACCGAAATGGAATTAAATAGTCAAGAAATGAATTAGAAGAAAAATGCTGGTGAAAGAAAATGGGAAGGGTGCTGGGAGAGCCGTGCAGTTCTGATGAAGGTTGGCCAAGGCCACTGGGACGTTCTTGAGCCGAAACCATCAAGAGTCCTGTGTGTCTTAGGAACAGGAAGAGCAAACATCCTTGGTGCAAATGCAGCAACGGATTTCAAAGCACAGAAGCTGTCACCCAGCAAAGATCTGAAAAAAGCATTGTCATGTGACCATAGGTAGGTGAGAAAGAAGGAAGGAATCTGGCATTTGCCATGATAGAATCTTTGATAGGCACAGCCAAACTTCTTAGCTCCTAACTCACTCCTCTAATTAAGAATACAGTATCACCAAGTACATAAGGTTTGTAGAATATGTATAACCATAAATTAATGTATGAAGTTGCTGAAAAATTAGAGGAGAATTAGAAATATAAGATACTGCAGCCATCAAGTGCAGTAGGATTTGAAAGGATACAGTTCAGGATGGTGGATAAAAGCAGGAGTTTTCAGAGTTACAGGAAATAGATTTGAAGCTTAGCTCTACTATTTGGCTGTGTGACCTTGAAACAGTGACAATGTGCCTGAGTTTCTAAATCTTTATAGCTGGGACATCATGATACCTCCTTCAACAGGACTTTCAAAGAGTTAAATTAGGCTTTTTAATAATCATCATAATGACTGTCATGAGATGGCACCTCATTGTGGTTTTGATTTACATTTTTCTAATGATCAGTAAAGTCTAGCTTTCTTTTCATACGTTTGTTGGCCGCATGAATGTCTTCTTTTGAGAAGTGTTTGTTCATGTCCTTTGCTCACTTTTTAATGGGTTGTTTTTTTCTGGTAAATTTGTTTGCATTCCTCATAGACTCTGGATATTAGATCTTTGTCAGATGGATAGATTACAAAAATTTTCTCCCATTCTGTAGGTTATCTGTTTGCTCTGATGATTGTTTCATTTGCTGTGCAGAAGCTCTTTAGTTTAAACCTCGTAATCACGCATATGTTCGTTGCAGCATGTTCACAATAGCAAAAACATGGAATCAACCCAAGTGCCCATCAATGATAGATGGGATAAAGTAAATGTGGTACATAAACACCATGGAATACTATGCAGACATAAAAAAAGAATGAGATCATGACTTTTGCAGTGACATGGATGGAGCTGGAAGCCATTTTCCTCAGCAACCTAATGCAGGAACAGAAAAACAAACATCACATGTTCTCACTTATAAGTGGGAGCTGAACAATGAGAACACATGGATACATTGGGGGAACAACACACACTGGGGCCTGTTGGGAGGTGGCGGGAGGAAGACCGTGAGGAAGAATAGCTAATGGATGCTGGGCTTAATACCTAGATGATGGGTTGACATCTGCAGCAAACCCCCATGGCCCACATTTGCCTGTGTACCAAAGCTGCACATCCTGCACTTGTACCCCAGAACTTAAAAGTAAAAGAGGAAAAAAGAGTTAAATTAGGCCTAAATCCCAGGAAATTAGCCTTTATTGATGGTTTAGTATATTTTAGACGCTGTTCCATGCACTTTATAGTAGTTTACCAAGTTCTACTAGAAAACATAAAATAGGATGTAATATTGTTCTTAACAATTTTTTTTTTTAATTTTAACACATGTAACAGATGAGGGAACTGAGGCATAGAAAGGTTGAGCACCTAACTGATTCTCGTTTTTGTAAGTGTGAGAATCAGAATTAAGTTCAGGTAGTCTCCCTGTCGTCTTTTCCTAACTACTACCCTACACTCTCCTGCCTCTCAAATACATCTGGATAGATAAAATGCCCTGATTTCTACATTACTGCATGATCATGACCCCAGGACAGGATGAAGAGGATGCAATAGTTACCTCCCAAGGAGGAGCTAGTTTTAACAGCACAATGTATGTTTTCCCCAAGAATCCATTTGGAAACTTGAACTTGATCAATATAATGCTCTGTATTTTCTGTAACTCTAGAGATCAAGTACTAGGTTGTAACAACCATAACCATTACCAGATACCCAAGAATTACTCTATTATGAGAATATCTTCTAGAAGTTATTTCAGAAAAGTCTGTTACTGCCTTAATCTGATGTCTTTAGGGTTAATATCCAATTGAGATATTTTAGGTTGCTCAGGGGCATAATGTCATTATTTGGGCAGCAGAGGCCCCTTCAGAATTTTTTCAACATGTATCATGCAGGCAGTTTCCTACTCAGATGATACATCTTAACTCCTCTCTTGGACAAGTGGCAATTGGAACCCTAAAATCTAAACTGGAGTTTCAATGCTGACACAATAGAGGGAGACAGGGTGAAGTAGGGCCTTCAACTCCAAAGGGTAGAACTCAGGTCATTTCTCATGTCTTGAGATTTGTACATCACTTGTGGTCCTCCCTAAAGGTGAGAAGGGAGAGGTTAAGGGTGCAAGTAATTTCTGACATTATGGACTGGTCTTGGGATGGAGACAGATTGTCAGTGACTATAAATAGTCCCAGGAGAGCGTCATGACTGTGAGGGTGTGCCTGAGGGGTGAGCAGTCCAGGTGTTCACCCACAAATCCTCTGGGGTTGACACCTGATGTTTATTGCACATGCTTAGGGATAGCTGGTGTTTTGGCTGCTGCTCTTGTGCATTAGTGAGCAGTCATAGGTCACAGAGACAGCAGAGTCACCTCTGAGCTCTCCCACTCCCAGGTGGTTTATTTGGAGAGTTATTTGTCTCATGAAGCTCCCTGGAGCCCAGGAGCTGTCAGTCTATTAAATCAAGGGAAAGAGAATTAGTAACACCTTCTTATTTTCAGGGTGTAATGACCTGCCCTATAAATCCACCCAAGTCCTGTTTTTAATCTTTAGTCTATGTGGGAAGCAACTGCTGTTATTGGTGCTGCATTGAGAATAGGCCACTTTATTACTTTGGAAGCCATAAAATACCTCTCTGGCTAGAAGGGAGGCTAATTCCCCTAGACCATTTGGGTAGATGCATTGATGCCCTCAGCCCTGTGACTGGTTTGGAATGCAGAATGTTGATCGAAAGGAGGAAAGTATATTTCCAAATAATTAGGTTTGAAATGTGCCATGATAAAGAAAAGTACATCTTGGGGGTCTATAGAAGTAAGCTTAAGTAAGCAAGGCAGTTTTTCCTGAATGATCGCCACAAAGCCAGCATTTGGCAGGACTTTCATAAAAACAATAAAAATTGTTCCAAGGTCAAAAAGTTTATGGACATATATTGAGAAGGTTTAAACCAATTACTCTAAAATGTCTGGGTCTTATTGTGAATCTGTAGGAGATATATAGTATGCAATGGCTACTAAACATATTTAATCATGGAAAACCCCTTCTCCTTTTGAGAAGGGCACCAAATAACGTGTTTTGACCTGTGTGCTATTTAGACAACAGCTCAAGATACGTTCTTCTGTATTAATATAAATTACTGAAACTTTTGTACCTGTTTTGGTAATTTGAGTCCCAAAGGAGGAGCTATCTGCAAATTACTTTATATGACATGTAATTTTTCAATAACTAAATCAGACCCCCTCCTATCTCTAATGTGCACATGGGTAAACAAAGTATTTAGTTTGTGGAAGAGGGATGATTTTGCCCCAAGTCAAAAAGCTACTTAATTATTCATAAGGCAAATGTCTACCAGTTGATCTGCATGACTATTGCATGTTCTCCTGTTACTGGGATTTATTTTTCCATATTATACCAGGCATTTGGATCCACATCCTCAACCATCTTTCAATAAGTGACTTTTCTGGATATAAAGCAAAATGCCTTTCATTGTGAGAAAGGAAGAGAAAGGCAGGGGAAGGAAGATAGCCTGGCCATCTGGATATATTGGTCTATGTGATTATTCATAAGACAGCTCAAATAAGCAGATGCCATGGATGGTAATTAAACCTTTCTTCTGTTCTCACTGGAATGTAAAAACAGTGTTTCTACTGATGACAAAGGATCCTTGTCACATATTCAAGGGTAATCACAAAAGGGATACATAATAACCCTGTTAATCATCAGAGAACAAGAACATTTTTGGCAGCAGCACTTTCTCAAGGTGATCAAGATTTCTTTACCCGCAGCACCAACTCCTATGAAACACTTGTCAGACCTCAAACAGTGCATCCACTCGCCGGCTCTCCCAGGGTTTCAGCAATTAGCTAGCATGTCCCTTTGGTCTGAAGAATTTTTTTTTTTTTTTGTCTCTTCAGATGGCTCCATGGTCTAAGAGATAGTGTTATATCTACCCCCAAAGGGTGCTCAGTCTGTGATAGTAAAGCTTTGTGAAATTGCGGAAGCTGTCTTTGCTGGAAAGAATGTTCTTTGCCTGAACGGATAATATAGAAAAGTTGATAGCCTCCTTATGGCCTTTGCAGGCTTCACTGCTTTGTTTCTTTCTCATTTCCCAGGAAAGACAGATCACAGGAGAAAAGTCTGTTGCCTAGGACACAGGCTTATGATACATGTTGAGATCACTCTCCCTACAGCCTTCTCTATTTAGCCAGGGCACCACCGGCAACCACAGCCAGAGCCCCACAATGTGTGGCTCCAGGTGGGATTTTAGAACAAGGGAAAATAGATACCATGGTAACAAGAGGGTGGGGACTACTGAACCACCGCCTGTTGTCTTTCCCAGACCCTCCTCATTTTTAGGCCCCATTTTAAAAAATATATTTTCTAAATGGTCTCTCAACGGAGTTTACATAGGAATACTTCAGCAGTTATTTCTTCATGACCTACTAGGTCCTGAAGATACAGAAGTGAACAAAACAAAACAACCCCCATCCTCATCCCTGGTTCCATGAATAGGTACGGGTAGTTGCTTCATAAATGCCATTACATAATATGTATTGAGTGTTTACAGTTAATCAGATATCATTCTGATTGTGTTTTACACCTGTTCATAAATGTCATGCCCACCCTGTGAGCTGGTTTACAGATGAGAAATTAAGGAAATTTAGAAACAAATTCCCCATGATAATACAGCTAGTAAGTAGGAGAACCTGGATTTGACTCCAAGAAATCCCACTCCAGAGCTCACCTCCTCACCCCAACTAATATACTTGTTCCTGACTCACACTGAGTCTCCCACCACTACCACCAGACCTGTTACAGAGATGGGGTCATACAGATGTGTCTGACATTCCACCATTATAGCTTTATTTCCTGAATATGTCTTCCCCTGTGTCTGCTGTACATTGTATTTGGAATGATCCTGAGAGAACATGCATTCCCCTTGGGATTTCTTTAAAAAAAAAAAAATTAAAAATGGCTCCTGTGGCCAGGCGCAGTGGCTCACGCCTGTAATCCCAGCACATTGGGAGGCTGAGGCAGGTGGATCACTTGAGATGAGGAGTTTGAGACCAGTTTGTCCAACATGGTGAAACTCTGTATCTACTAAAAATACAAAAATTGGCTGGGCGTGGTGGCACATGCCTGTAATCCCAACTACTTGGTAGGCTGAGGCAGGAGAATTGCTTGAACCTGGGAGGTGGAAGTTGCAGTGAGCCGAAACTGTGCCATTGCCCTCCAGCCTGGGCAACAAGAGTGAAACTCCGTCTCAAAAAAGAAAAAGCTCCTGTGGAGGTACTATAAGTGATAGTAATTCTAATCATAGTAAGTGGGATTAAATATGCCTGATTCTAGTTCCTATGTCACCATGTTAAGTAGTATATCAGTTTACTAGGACTGCCATGTAACAAAACAACACGAACTGGGTGGCTTAAAAAACTGAAATGTATTTTCTCACAGGTGTAGAGGCTGGAAGTCCAAAAGCAAGGATTAGGCAGGGTGAGTTTCTCCTGAGGCCTCTCTTCTTGGCTTGCAGATGGCCACTTTTTCACTGTGTCCCCACTTGGTCTTCTCTCCATGTATGCATATCCCTCATGCTTCTTTGTGGTTAGACTCTGTACTTCAAATTCCCTCTTCTTATCAGGAGACCAGTCAGATTAGATTCGGGCCCATCTTAATGAACTCATTTTAACTTAATCACCCCTTTAAAGATCCTGTCTCCAAATGCAGTCCCATTCTGAGGCATTGGGGTTAGGACTTCAGCCCATAGCAAGTAGTGTGCAAGTTACTTAATGTTTAACTCCCATTTTCCAAATGCATAAAATGGAAGTAGCCACAATGCTTACATTTTGGGGGCATTTCATGTAATAATATAAGTTATAAGGCTTAAATAAGGTCATTCTGTCTCTGGCCAAAGTATTGAATGAAACAACTGTATGCTTTTTGCCCCTTTTGTTTGAATAGCTGCTTTGTTCTTATCTGTCGGGTTTTAGCTCAGATAATCACCCTGATAATTTCTTCAGAGAACTTTCAAAACCAGAACTTATTATTATTATTTACTTGTATATTATCTCTGTCATGCCACTAGAATTTAAGCTCTTATCACAGAAGGAACTGTATCTGTCCAACTCACTGTCATACCAAACATCCTAAAATGGAGCATGACATATTTACAGGGTGCACAACAAATGTTTGTGAGATGAATGCATGCAAAATATTTTTTAAAACCTAATTACATTTAGGTTTTCTTTTTTTTTTCCCCCAGTAGGGCTTTCATCAGACGTATTTAAGACCTTTTTCTTTTGCTCATTCTACTACTCTAGCTGACTGAATTTCCTGTTTCTGAGCAGCAGTTGGGTCCTTTCACATTTAGACTTCTACTTTGAGAGTGAAATTTCTGTCCTAAGGAGACGTCTTCATCACAGCCTCAGGTAGGAAATACACAGCTCTCCTGCTGCTCAGCACCAACCTAGGGATTTCACCCCCATTCACTCCCAGCTTCTTCCTTATTCCTATCTGGCTATTTTATTTGTTTAAAGTTAAATATGTTTCAAACAATACTATTAATACATTGCACCATTTCCTCCCTTAACAAGAAATAATTTATCAAGATTTTCAAACTTAATATCTAGCTGAGGGCACACTTCAAAAGAGAGGAGATAGAGACTGGGTAGACATGGACTCTGGGTGCATGAATGGAAGGGAGATGTATAGGCAAGAAGCATGAAAGACAGCATGTTTTCACTTCTGGTTGCCTTCTGAAAACTGAAAATGTTCTCTTAGCTTTCTCATCCCCAGTTCTAACAAGGTGTTTTGAAATCGAATTTTTATATTGGCTCCCCTGTGGCCTCTGGCTCAGGAAGAACACCACTTTCTTTTTTTTTTTTTTTTTAAGTTTTTTTTCTTTTATTATTATACTTTAAGTTTTACGGTACATGTGCACATTGTGCAGGTTAGTTACATATGTATACATGTGTCATGCTGGTGCGCTGCACCACACTAACTTGTCATCTAGCATTAGGAATATCTCCCAATGCTATCCCTCCCCCCTGCCCCCAACCCACAACAGTCCCCAGAGTGTGATGTTCCCCTTCCTGTGTCCATGTGATCTCATTGTTCAATTCCCACCTATGAGTGAGAATATGCGGTGTTTGGTTTTTTGTTCTTGTGATAGTTTACTGAGAATGATGATTTCCAATTTCATCCATGTCCCTACAAAGGACATGAACTCATCATTTTTTATGGCTGCATAGTATTCCATGGTGTATATGTGCCACATTTTCTTAATCCAGTCTATCATTGTTGGACATCTGGATTGGTTCCAAGTCTTTGCTATTGTGAATAATGCTGCAATAAACATACGTGTGCATGTGTCTTTATAGCAGCATAATTTATAGTCCTTTGGGTATATACCCAGTAATGGGATGGCTGGGTCAAATGGTATTTCTAGTTCTAGATCCCTGAGGAATCGCCACACTGACTTCCACAATGGTTGAAATAGTTTACACTCCCACCAGCAGTGTAAAAGTGTTCCTATTTCTCCACATCCTCTCCAGCACCTGTTGTTTCCTGACTTTTTAATGATTTCCATTCTAACTGGTGTGAGATGGTATCTCATTGTGGTTTTGATTTGCATTTCTCTGATGGCCAGTGATGATGAGCATTTTTTCCTGTGTGTTTTGGCTGCATAAATGTCTTCTTTTGAGAAGTGTCTGTTCATGTCCTTCACCCACTTTTTGATGGGGTTGTTTGTTTTTTTCTTGTAAATGTGTTTGAGTTCATTGTAGATTCTGGATATTAGCCCTTTGTCAGATGAGTAGGTTACAAAAATTTTCTCCCATTTTGTAGGTTGCCTGTTCACTCTGATGGTAGTTTCTTTTGCTGTGCAGAAGCTCTTTAGTTTAATGAGATCCCATTTGTCAATTTTGGCTTTTGTTGCCATTGCTTTTGGTGTTTTAGACATGAAGTCCTTGCCCATGCCTATGTCCTGAATGGTAATGCCTAGGTTTTCTTCTAGGATTTTTATGGTTTTAGGTCTAACGTTTAAGTCTTTAATCCATCTTGAATTGATTTTTGTATAAGGTGTAAGGAAGGGATCCAGTTTCAGCTTTCTACATATGGCTAGCCAGTTTTCCCAGCACCATTTATTAAATAGGGAATCCTTTCCCCATTGCTTGTTTTTCTCAGGTTTGTCAAAGATCAGATAGTTGTAGAAATGCGGCGTTATTTCTGAGGGCTCTGTTCTGTTCCATTGCTCTATATCTCTGTTTTGGTACCAGTACCATGCTGTTTTGGTTATTGTAGCCTGCTCCTGAATGACTACTGGGTACATAACGAAATGAAGGCAGAAATAAAGATGTTCTTTGAAACCAACGAGAACAAAGACACAACATACCAGAATCTCTGGGACGCATCCAAAGCAGTGTGTAGAGGGAAATTTATAGCACTAAATGCCCACAAGAGAAAGCAGGAAAGATCCAAAATTGACTCCCTAACATCACAGTTAAAAGAACTAGAAAAGCAAGAGCAAACACATTCAAAAGCTAGCAGAAGGCAAGAAATAACTAAAATCAGAGCAGAACTGAAGGAAATAGAGACACAAAAAACCCTTCAAAAAATTAATGGATCCAGGAGCAGGTTTTTTTTGAAAGGATCAACAAAATATATAGACCGCTAGCAAGACTAATAAAGAAAAAAAGAGGGAAGAATCAAATAGATGCAATAAAAAATGATAAAGGGGATATCACCACCAATCCCACAGAAATACAAACTACCATCAGAGAATACTACAAACACCTCTATGCAAATAAACTAGAAAATCTAGAAGAAATGGATAAATTCCTCAACACATACACTCTCCCAAGACTAAACCAGGAAAAAGTTGAATCTCTGAATAGACCAATAACAGGAGCTGAAATTGTGGCAATAATCAATAGCTTACCAACCAAAAAGAGTCCAGGACCAGACAGATTCACAGCCGAATTCTACCAGAGGTACAAGGAAGAGCTGGTACCATTCCTTCTGAAACTATTCCAATCAATAGAAAAAGAGGGAATCCTCCCTAACTCATTTTATGAGGCCAGCATCATTCTGATACCAAAGCCGGGCAGAGACACAACCAAAAAAGAGAATTTTAGACCAATATCCTTGATGAACATTGATGCAAAAATCCTCAATAAAATACTGGCAAAACGAATCCAGCAGCACATCAAAAAGCTTATCCACCATGATCAAGTGGGCTTCATCCCTGGGATGCAAGGCTGGTTCAATATACGCAAATCGATAAATGTAATCCAGCATACAAACAGAGCCAAAGACGAAAACCACATGATTATTTCAATAGATGCAGAAAAGGCCTTTGACAAAATTCAACAACCCTTCATGCTAAAAACTCTCAATAAATTAGGTATTGATGGGACGTATTTCAAAATAATAAGAGCTATCTATGACAAACCCACAGCAAATATCATACTGAATGGGCAAAAACTGGAAGCATTCCCTTTGAAAACTGGCACAAGACAGGGATGCCCTCTCTCACCACTCCTATTCAACATAGTGTTGGAAGTTCTGGCCAGGGCAATTAGGCAGGAGAAGGAAATAAAGGGTATTCAATTAGGAAAAGAGGAAGTCAAATTGTCCCTGTTTGCAGATGACATGATTGTATATCTACAAAACCCCATTGTCTCAGCCCAAAATCTCCTTAAGCTGATAAGCAACTTCAGCAAAGTCTCAGGATACAAAATCAATGTACAAAAATCACAAGCATTCTTATACACAAACAACAGACAAACAGCCAAATCATGAGTGAACTCCCATTCACAATTGCTTCAAAGAGAATAAAATACCTAGGAATCCAACTTACAAGGGATGTGAAGGACCTCTTCAAGGAGAACTACAAACCACTGCTCAAGGAAATAAAAGAGGATACAAAGAAATGGAAGAACATTCCATGCTCATGGGTAGGAAGAATCAATATCGTGAAAATGGCCATACTGCCCAAGGTAATTTACAGATTCAATGCCATCCCCATCAAGCTACCAATGCCTTTCTTCACAGAACTGGAAAAAACTACTTTAAAGTTCATATGGAACCAAAAAAGAGCCCGCATCGCCAAGTCAATCCTAAGCCAAAAGAACAAAGCTGGAAGCATCACACTACCTGACTTCAAACTATACTACAAGGAAGAACACCACTTTCTGCTCAATCAAAGAGAAATTTTGGATCCTTCTGAGAAGTTTCCTTTCCCTTCTCTGCTTTAATCATTTGGTCACTAGGTTATGTCTCTTCTGTTCATCTCACTCTACAAATGTGGATTTGGATAAGGAATTCTCATTTGGATGACTACATGAGTGACAGGTCCCTACAAGTATCTGCCCCCTCACATCAATCTTTAGCAAAGCCATAATAAATTCCACACTCAGATAGCATTCAGGACCCTACAGGGACCTCTGCCTACTGCCTTCTCCATCTTCCCATTCTTCACATTATTTCATAGAAGTGTGGGTAACTCACCCCACACTGTCATCATGAGTAATATTTCTTTAACTTTTAATTTTAGATTAACTTTAGGCTTCCAGAATGTTGTGAAAATTGTGCAGTTTTTGTATACTTCTCACCTACTTGCCCCTATTTTTAACAAATTACAGAACAATTATCACAACTAAGGAAACAATTCCAATTATATTCCTATTAACTAAGTTAACTAAGTCCAAATTTATTTGGAAATTCCTAGTTTTTACCTAATGTCCTTTGATCCTGTTCCAGGATCCCATCTAGAACACCATGTTCCATTCAGTTGACATGTCTCCTCGGCCTCGTCTGGACAGTGGTAGTTTCTCAGGCTTTTCTTATTTTTAATGAACTTGACAATTTTGAGTAGTGGTTATTTTCTAGAATTCCCCTCCACATGGTTAGACTTAGGTTGTGGATTTAGGGGAGGAAGACCACAGAGGTCAAATGTCATTCTCATTGTATCATATCAAGGGAATACATTATGAATGTGGCTTAAAGTGATGTAAAACTGAATCATCTGGTGGAAACAGTGTTTCTAGGTCTCTTCACTACAAAGCAACCCCATCTGCCTACCTTTCTAAACACTGTTTTCTGAAAGAGCAGCCCACACTCAATGAGGGTAGGAAAGAGAATATTAAGCCCCACATCTTGGAGAGGGAGAATCTACAAAAATTACTTGGAATCATCTGTGTGCTATGTCTTCTACCTCCATTCATTTATTTCATTCAATCAACAATTTATTTATATAATCATTAATAGATATTAATTTAATGTATTGGGTTATAACCCAGTGCTACATTATTTTGGTTCTCAAATTGTGTCAGCTTTGGCTATTGGGAGCTCTTACAGGTTAGTCTCTTTGACCCTTTATTTCTGAGCACTTCTTTAACTTTCTGGCACTGCAAGTTGCTCTGTGAGGTTCTTGTATCTTCCCACCTCTTCCCTAAAACCCGAAGAGCTCTGGTTTCTTTTATTAAAGAATGGCATCAGAAATCCAGATTTGGCCACGCACAGTCTCTTACTGCCTTCCATTGCTTCTAAACTCTCTCAGTGGACAGCTATGAAATATATGTATGTATACTAATCTGCATATAGACACATATATACATAAAATTATTTTCATATCCTTTTATATCGATATTAAATATCTAAGCATGAGTCCGTACTATGTCACAGAGTCTAATCCTATACCTGATGATTCCTAGCCATTTTTCCCTTGCTTATCTGTAACTTCCATCTCCAGCAGAGAGAAATGTCACTCCTGCCTTCGACAATCCATTTACTTATTTGTTCAACCCCAGTATATTTGTAAAGCAGTTTCAGCAT
The DNA here is from genome assembly GCF_000001405.40 of Homo sapiens. Lineage (NCBI taxonomy): Eukaryota > Metazoa > Chordata > Mammalia > Primates > Hominidae > Homo > Homo sapiens. Next base: position 116,927,641 of record NC_000002.12, on the reverse strand, counting down.
TTTTAACTCATATCCCTGAGAGACATAACTTTACCTACTAGAGTATAGTGTTTATATGCACATCCCTCATTGTCTCTTTAGCCTTACAGTTTCCAGTCAAATAACTGCTCTCCAAAGTTACTTTTGTTGGAAACTTCTTCAGTGAAGTTAAATTTAGGTTTTTACCATTTTTGTTACAGTGCATTTCATCCTGGGATTCCCTAACTCTTGGCTGATTTTTTGTTGTTGCGTATATTAAGATTTCATTCTTCAGGCCGTAAAGTTCTATTGGTTTTGAAAGATGCATATTGTCTTATTACTGCAGTACCATGCGTATTTTTTCATCACCTTAAAAATCTTCTATACTTCTCTAGTTGAATGCTATCTCCTTCCCAAACCTTACCAACCACTGATATGTTTCTATCTTTGGTAACCTTGCCTTTTACAGAATGTCATATGAATTGAGTCACACAATATGTGGTCTTTCGGGTCTGTCTTCTTTCATTCATCCATATTTTTGTGTGAATTAATAGCTTGTTTCTTTTTATCACTGAATAGTAATCCTATTGTATGGATAGACCACAGTCTACTCACCAATTGAAATATTAGAAGATATCTCAGTTACTTCTAGTTTTTGGCAATTATGACTAAAGCTGTTATAAATGTCTGCGTGCATGTTTTCAGATCAGTTTGATAAATAGCTTAAGAGTGTAATTGAATCATACAGTAAGCCTAGGTTTAACTACAGGCAGTAATTTGAAGCTTTCTTCAAATGCACTTTACTCTGAAATGCCTCTGGAGTTACGCAGATGCTTTTCTTTTGCCTGGAATGCTCTGCCCTCTTCCCTTTGTATTTGTCCACTTCTTTCTTGCAGACATCTTCTCAAGTGTCTCCTTCTCTTAAAAATCTTTCCCTCTTCTTCTCGGCCTAAATTAGAGACTGTTACATGTATGTATAATGTGTATCTCATTCATCATATACCATTGCAATTTTTAATATTCTTGTCTTCCTCTCTGACAAGTCCATGAACACTTTCAGGGAAAGTGTTGTACCTTTCATTTCTGTTACCTCAGTTTTTAGTACTGGCTTCAGTAGATAATGGAAATTCATTAATTGAGTGTTCAATCATATTTTTTCCATCATACCATACCCAAGCTTCCTCTACATCCCAATTTAATTTTTCCAATATCACTGTGTTTCTTATAGGTGTAATGTATTTGATATTTATATTTTGCTCATAAGTTAACCCATAACTGTTGTTAATTCAGACTCATCTCACTCTATATTTTATATGAGTTTCTATAAACACTTCAACTGTATAAATGAAAAAACACAACCATAGTTAATTTGTCCTTTGCTGTTTACATTTTCAGATGCCCAAAGTTGTTTTTGTAACACTGAATGTTTTCCCTTTTTCTTAAAAGTACAGGAAACAGACATTTCTTGAGGTTTCTGCTAGAGAAAGCTCAGGAGACAGGTCTGACTCCATCAAAGTGCAGTGTCAGTCATTAGCTTTGTTATGTTGTGTGTATAAATTCACACACACACTCACACACACACAAAGAGGAGCTGGAAGTTAGGAAGGTTGGGGATATGTACACCTGCACAATTGTTCAGGGGTGGGAAGCATCCTGACCTCTTTGAAGAGTACTTATGTGTCCTTTTAACATTATTGGCAGTTACAGGAGGGCATCAAGGGGGAGCATAGGCTCTTGGTCATATTGTAAAATCAAAACTGAACAAAAAGGGAAGTAATAATATAATGTCTCTTTTCTTCCTAGGTGAGTGAAAGAAATTATTTTAAAAGCCTCAGGCAATCTTTCAGCTCAAAAGTTTTTTTTTCATTTCTCTAAAGGTGCATATTCTGAAAAAAGCTAAGCCTCTCTTTTTGTATTATTTATACACAGAGATCATTTTTGCTGAGATTGTAAGAAAATTATATTACTAAATGCTGCAGCTGGTCTTGATCTGACCTGGCTGATACTGGTGCTGGTAGTGGTTGCATTATTTCCTTCCAGGCACTCTTGTCATAAAAAGAGAAAAAGCTAGAGGGAGGTGTAAGGGAGGAGGACAGAAAAAAAAATCCATGTAAATCTTGTTTTCCAGAAGCCATCAACCCCAGCCCCATACCAACTAATTCTCAGCATCACATACACAAACATATTGGAGGAACTTAAGTCTTTGGAGGAAATAGAAAATATATTAATTTATGATAAATGTTGAGGACTTCTCTCAGTACAATCATAGGAAAATTGGCCAAGTGGGAAAAAAATGTCAAAAGATGATCTCCCAATATTTAGAGCAGGGCCACTAGAGTGGGTGAAGTTTGTGGTCAGTGAAGCAATAGAGATATGCCCAGTGGTATGAGAGTGCAGGCTCCAGGTCCACACCAACCTTGTTCATGCACTGGATATGACTGAGGTATAAAACCTCTCTTACTTCATTTGCATCATCTCTAACTTGGAGAAGATGCCTGCCTCCTAGAGCAGCTATAAGGAATTAATCAGTTATTCCATTTAAAACACTTTGACTAGTCAGGCACATCGCAGACTCTCAGTGCTAGCTGTTCTCATTCCTTCTCCAGCTTGTGCTTCTGATGGGGATGCCTCACATTAGCAGACTTCCAGCTTTGAGACTAAAGGGAGGTCCCTATTGTTCTGTATTAATTGAATCTTCAGGCATTTGTTCCAGAGGCACCATAAAAAAGGGAAGGGCTTTCTCTCAATGCAGATCCAAAAGAGAGAAATTTGCTAAGCCCTGCCTGCAGAACTAAAAAGCAGCAGACAACACTTCCCTGCCTTTATTTTAAAAAAGTAATCAGGACCAAAAAACCCTGAAGCATCACAAAATGAAGTTGTTAAGAGTCCATAATCATTGTAGCTTGCTCATGTTTATTACTTTAATTTCCTGTTTCTCTGCCATGATGATCAGTGGACCTTTAAACCAAATAACCTGTGTACTTAGCTTTACTGCAGAAACTGGAGAGACTGTGTACTACTCTGCAACCAACCAGGGTTTTGCAGAAATAGAAAGTTAGGGGATAGAAATGATAGTGATAGTTCCTTAAGGGAAAAGTTATCAGTCTGCAAATCTTCACTCCATTCCTGAGAATGAAAGAGATGGCCTGGAGGCTTTGCCTTAAAAAGATCCTGGGGTTGGCTTCTTGACCTAAAGCATCCTTTTTCTCTTTGTTTTTAGGTAAGAAGGAAAAACAAAGATTGTGAGATGCAAATAATTTAGAGGCATCAGCATAAACAGAACCAGCTGGTTATTTTCCTTTCTGCCCAATTCTTCTTTTCTCTTCTGATAAAAAAAAGAGTAAGTGAAAATTCCAGCATTGTATCAAAGATGAGTAAGCAGAGAGATTCAAGGGTTACCACATTTTGACACAAACTGTATTCCGTGTTGAAAAAAATGAGCTGATTTGCATTGTGCAGAATCCAATCTCCCTAATCAATTATTGATGGCCGGTGGAAAGTGATAAATGGCCTGCCAGCCAGAAAATCACTCTGTTTCAGCTCAGCATGGAAACAGATGATAGGATTTTCAATATACACAATGAGACCTTTCCAATATACATGATGAGACCTTCCTCTTATACTTAGCATTACTTTCACTCTAAAATTACGGAAGCTTTCAATTTTAGAATCTAGATGTGTTTATGAAGCAAAAACATTAAAAATTGCCAAACTAAAAAGAATATTATTTCAAACAGTATCCTTATTTTCCAATTTCATAAATACAAGTATTGATGGCATAATGAAAATCACATCTGGGAGACAGAATAAAGTGGGCAAGAGTGAATTTTAGTTTTGATTATGTTAATTCCTTGTTATGACACCTTGAGTGAATTTAATTTCTCCGTGCCTCAGTCTCTTCATTTGCAAAATGAAGATAATAATTTAATAAAATAAAGACCTTTGGCCAATCTTGCACAAATTGAAACTGAATAGATGTCCTAATCTATTGCCACTGGTAAGGCTTTCCCTCTTATCAATGTGGCAATGACTCAAACACTCACCTGGACTTAAGAAGTAGCTGGAACATTAGGGAAAAAGTATAAATTTTAAAATTCCCAACTCTCAACCCAAATCTACTGAGGCAAAATTTATAGGGAGAGGACTGTAAGCTGTATTTTAGCTATGCCTCCAGGTAATTTTGATCCTTGATCAAGTTTGGACAAATGCCAATTAACAACTGGACATCCTGGCTTTGGCTCTCTTTCAGCTGAAATAATTTTACTTAGAACATTGAGTGCAAATTTTCTGGAGCCTCTTACAGATTTTTTTTCTAGTGTTGTAATACCTGAATCTGTGTGTAGCCAGGTGTACCAGGCACATGGCCCCCTCTTCATCCAGACAGCAGACATACTACTGTAGGATTGTCTTCAGCAGCTCAGCATCCTCTCACTTCCAGTCCTGCATCTGGAGGGTTAAATACAGGACATGCATGAGGAATGGATTTGGAGGTCCAGGATCAGGGAGAAATGTAAAATCCTCTAATGCCTTCTTTAATCCAGCTTCACAGTAACAAATTCATATTGCATTTTTATTCTCATTTGGCTTGCTTCTTCTCAAGGACCCAGGGTAGAGAGGGGTAAATAAAGAAGTATAAGTTTATATTAAAACTATACTAATAATTTTAAAACAACTACAAATTTAGCAATGTTCTTATCCTTTCATAAATACTGTCAACTACAGAGATTGCAGGCATTCAACAGATTTGAATACTTAAATTACTATTTTTTTGCATGAATTCCTGACAATCTTGTAAGAATCTTTCTAGAAGTTACCCCCTCAGAGAGAAGGAAGTTTGCATATATATAAAGCAGATTTAAAAGTATAAGATAAAATAGTGCACTTATTCTAACATTTTTTCTGTGGAGAGTTTTTACTCTTATTTCTCCTGCAGTCCAAATGTTTGTTACATTAAAAAGTATTCCAGTATTCATATAGTGCCCAGAATAAAACTTCTCAGTATAATTTATTTGAGTTCTACTTTTGTACTTTGACCTTCTTGTGGTTTTACACTCTCTCGCTGTTCTTTCTACTTTCATAAACAGGTTGCAGGAATTGAGTCAGATCATGATTAGGCATTGAGCCTCTTTCTTCATTTTACTGGGCTAGTGGTATCTGCAGAGATAAAATTCTATCTCCAAGTGATTGGCGTTCAGGAGACATCATTCACAGTTCCTAAAATTCCTCCCTTTCTGTGTAATATGGGAAGATGGACTATCATGGATATCATAGAGAAAAATGTTTAGGAAGACAGATTGCATTGAAAATGGATTCAATTCTATGATTTTTCATGGATTTAAGGGACAAAGAGTTAATACCAATAACTTTGCAGTTATAGACAGCAAGTCATGCTTCAGGAGCCATTGAAGTAAAGTGATAGGAAAAAAAACCATAAATTAAAATTTATTTTGATGTTCTTATCCAAAATAACAACATACAGAGAAATATGGGTATTATAACTAGCAAGAGAGAGAGATTTGCATATTCATACAAACTTTAGAATGTTAACTTAGTTTTTCTCTTTTATAAAAATATTGATGCACTCTTTGTCCATTTTTGAAAAATATTGGATTAGACAATATAATTCCAGAAATTGTACTTAACTGTGATTGTCTCTAAAATTAACACATTATTAGCCGAAATCACAAAACTTTGTAAAGTATTATAAAACAACATAAATATAATAAAGCTTCTCATTTTTGCATTTTGCCCACTTTGTTAATACAATGTGAACAGAATGTGGACTCAAAAAAAAAAAAGTAACAAGTAGTACTAAGGACAAACTCACTTAGTGGGATCTAGGTTATACATAAAATAGCAAGTCAAAAGAGCTTGCATTGATTAGGTGTGGTGGCTCATGCGTGTAATCCCAGCACTTTGGGAGGCCAAGATGGAAGGATTGCTTAAGACCAGTTTGGGCAATATGGTAAGGCCTCATCTCTACAAAAAAAACCTTTATAACTTAGCCAGGTGTGGTGGCACATGCGTGTGGTCTCAACTACCAAATTGCTGACTGAGGTGAGAGGATAGCTTGAGCCCAGGAGTTTGAGACTACAGTAAACCTTGTTTATGCCACTTACACTCTAGCTCTGGCAACAGAGTGAGACTCTGTCTCAAAAAAGAAAAAAAAAAAAAAAAAAGAGCTTGAATTATCAGAGTTGGCCATGCCTGCAAAGGGAAATCACCCACACGTATAATCGGATAATGGGAGAAGGAATACAAAATCCAATGATCCCGAACATTCCTTCCACTAATCCTAAATGATGTTGAATTCTCAAGAATGGATTTAGGTTAAATCACTAAAATCTGTTAAAATGCATGTGTTTCAAGGAAAAGAGAACATATTAGGTCAGGATTGTTCACTGATTTGTTTTAAATACAATGATGAACAGCTTTTATCTTTAGCGGAGATCAAATAGGGATAAATCAAGTACATTTTCTAGGCCCACTTTGGAGACTGGGATGCCGCTCTAATCCTGGAAGGATAGGAGACCCAGAAAATAACAGATACGAGGAAGAATAAGAGAATTAAAGAAAATGTCACACGAGTTGGAATCATGTCCTTAATCCAACTGATCTATGTCAAAGTGGAATAATATCATTAGATAGCAACACATATTTGGAGTTGAGATAATTGTGTTGTAAACAAATGATAAATTCTACAATAGGAATATTCAGAGATTCATTTACAAAAGTAATGACAATTACTGAAAGTGATAATTTTGCCATCAAATCACTAGGGCATGAGACAAAGTATTAAGGGGAGCTTACCAATTTACAGTGAGGGAGGTGTCAGATTTTTGGCTCTTACCACTAAGTTCTGTAAAAATCCATTCATGAGCTATTAATACTATATGTTCAAAATGTTTATATTTTACATTTAGGCATAACGTAATGCTGATTTGTTTTTTAAAGCACTAATAGGCTCTTATGATATTTTCTATCCATCATGCCATTTTTTTCCTAATACACCTAGTGTGCTTTCTGGACACCACACTATTTCATTTGAGGCTTGTTTTGAGTGTGTCTGGCTACAGGGCTCCCTTAAGCGGAGGGCCAAAAAGTGTCCTAGGGAAACCATTTTCTTTGGCTGCTTACAGGGGCTCCTGTCCAGCTATTGCAGTATTGCAAGCAGAGGCACAGTCCATTCCACAAATGGTGGAAGGGACCATGCTTTCTTCCTCTGTGAGGTAGCAGAATGGCAGCAGCCAGGATGTGAATACCCTGTCAAAAATACCAGGAGTTCATCTTCTGCATCCATGTTATTTCAAGCTCTTAAAACTCGAGGTAGAGAGGAATTACTTTAGCTTTTTTAGTTTCTCCTCAGTGCCCTGGGAGCCAAGCTCCCACAGATCTTAAGAATATCCAAGGTCAAACACTTTTTAATATAAGCGAGTTTCTATTCCTCATCCTGGGACATATGATGCTGTCCTCAGGTTCTCCAATACTTATGGCCTCAGTTTTGCTTTCTAAGGCAAGTTTCTACAGCTTTAATATGCAAGCAAGTCTAGTGAATGATCTTGCTATAGTGCAAGTTCCGATTCATAGATTGCATTGGGAATCTGCATTTGTCACAAGCTGCTGTGTGAAGACTTTGCAGCTGACCTACTTGCTATGGAGCAAGTGACCAGGGCATCTATTCTGCAAGCCCCAGGTGCTAAATAACTAGTTAGCTCAGATGGGTTCAAACTGAAACAAAGGGCAGCTAAAGTATGTTCAGATGGCCATTCTTCCAAAGTCCCCCAAATCCCTAACAGATTTGTATCCAGGATTCTACTCTGAATTCAAATCTCTGTCAAGCCTTGGTTTCTATCATTTAAGATGGGGAAAATAACACCCATTTTGAAGGTTCATTGTTATATAAGGATTAATATGAAAGTGTTCTGAAAACAGAAACACAAATATAATATTTTGTAATATCACAGCTAAAATAAGAAGTTCTATGATTGCTGTGACTATTTCATTCAGAACTAATTGACCTTGATATCATAAGTATTTGTAATTATCAAGCTTCAAATGTTCCTTTCATATAATGACAGTTGCTCCCTGTTTCTGTGCTTTGTTAAAAAGGGAAAAAAATAACTGATTAATAGTAAAGTTAAATTACACTACTACATCCTTCAAAGATTGTTTTGAAAGTACACTAATTATCTCTTTTAAAGAGTTATCAGTCCAACTTTTTTAAACTTCCACCCGTTTTCCATTCTATTACATCAAGGTAAGGGTTTCATGGTGTGATTATCTGTTTCCTTCCTAAAGAGCCAAGATCCAATCTCAATGCATCCTAATGGTTAGAATCTGAGCAATATAGAGAAAAGCAGAATCATCCTGAATCTTTTTATCTCTGAGTTTCCTAGAAGACTAGGGAGTATTTCAATTAAAAGTAAATCAAAAGGAACCCATCTGAATGTCTGATTTGGGAGCTTGCATATGCTTGGTTGTTAATACTGTTCCTAAAATCTGGAGAACAACTTAATGATTGACCTAATTAAGTGAAGACAGAAATGACTTAATCAAGATCTTTCTAAGCTGAATTAAGGAAACATTTAAAAAATGGAATCTTCTTAATAAAAACAAGAAAAACAACCCAGTAACAGGCCTTATGCAGTAATCCAGGTTTGACTATTTGGAAGAAAATTAACATACATAAGCGCCTATTGTGTATCAGTCATCTGAGTTCATTCTCAAAGCACCCCTATGTGGTGCGACTTATAATCCACATACTACATATGAGAAAATAGATGTAGAGTTACTAAGACCTTAGTTTATAAGATAACAGGCCTGAGTTTATAAGATAATAGGTGGTAGAGCTGGGAATCAAATTTATCTGACTCCAAAGGTCAATAACGTTGTCTTTCACTGCGCCAAAAACCCTCCACTCAGCTGTGTGTCATCATGGTCCAAAGTACCTGAATTAGAGTATGCTGTTGTGAGAATGAAAATATTTACTACAATAGTATAGTTGAAACCATATCACATTGAAGTGTGTATTTTCTTAAAATACGAATAGCCCAAGGGGACAAGAATATATTTTCATGCATTTATTATACAAAGGAGAATAATACTATACCTGCAGGAGAATAATACTATACTAATGCAGGTATAGTATTGCATTTGAGAAAATATAATTTGTGGTCACTGGGGGAAACCAATTCTTTCATAGATAAGTTTCAATGAAAATTATAAAGTATTATTGACCTCACATAAGCAAGCCAGAGCCTATGAACAAAACAAACCTTATAGTTACCCTCCACTCCACAACCCCAGAGAACTGACAATATCACACAACAGAGTATCCATAGCATACAGCTCATCTCCAGGAGCTCCTCCATCTCCTCTTCCCAGCCCTACTCTATCTGTGGTCCCCGGTGCCATCCTCCCTGCAGCATGGACACTGGACTCTGTACTCATGAGGCTGGTACCAACCTAAGGCTTGGTCCAGTCTCTCTAGCCTTTCTTTTGTTGCTCATGCCACATGTTTCAGAACATTCCTGAACCATGGTTAAATGACTGAAGCTAATCTGAGAAGGCTTCCATGTTTTAGAGTAATCGAATAGTACAGCTGGAAGAGTTGCTATAGTTAAGACAATTCTCCTCATTTTATATATGGGAAAACTGAAGCACAGATGTTACATGCCCAAAGTAACATAGACGATTGCCAGCAGAGTTTGTATCATTGCCTAGCTGCCATATGCTAAGACAAGTGTTTTGTTTAGGGTGCTAAAAGGCCACCGTTCCTTTCATATTTAACCCTTTTAAAAGGTGATGCAAGACATATTTATATTTCACCTTAGCCTCCAGTCCCATAACCAGAGAGGAGACTAGTGATAAGAATATAAGTCCTATCATGGCATATATTTTTGTTTATTTGTTTTTGTTCTGTTTTGCTTTGCTTTTTATTTAAGTAGTTTCAGGGGTATGAGTGGTCTTCGGTTACATGGATGAATTGTATAATGATGAAGATGGCATATAGTAATTTGGAGTGCTACGTATATTAGAAATCTTTGGTGCAAAAACATAGCATACCAGAAACCCAATTAAACTACTTTTGGGGAAAAAATTTGTTTTTTGGCTCATATAACAAAAACAGGACAGACATGGAGTTTCAGGGCAACTAAATGCAGGAAATCACAGCTGTTAGCTCATTTTATCTCTTTCTGCCTATCCTTCTATTGTTCTCTTCCTGGCTTCCTCTCTCCTGCTTCCTCATCTGTGCTGTATTCCCATGGTGAACTGGAAACTATGTTCTCCTTCATGCTACCTTTATTGTTTTTAAAATGTTATACATTGCCATCAAAGCTGACAGACTTTTGCCATAGACTGGGAATGTGGCCAGCTGGAATTCTATGATCTAAATGAGGTATTTCCCTGCAATTGCAGTAAAAATGTCCTAGAGTAGGATTCTAATTACCTTGGCTTGGCTCAAGAGCCCACTGGGGACCAATCATCATGGCTAGGGAGATGCAATATTATCAGCCTGGATTACAGACCACACGTATAGGGGATTGGAGTCCTATGTCTGTGTCTAAATAAGCGGAGGTATAGGAAAGAAAAGACACCTCAAGGATGCCTTTGCTAACTCTCAAATTAGAGTTTGTAGGCCAATATGGTCAAGTGTAGAACCAGTCTTGTTCAAAGCTGGGACATGATAAAACTTGTTACTTTTGTTCTCTGTCCCAGTTGCCATCCTTTAGTGAGATGATATTCTAGAGTCCATAGAGAACACAAAATCACAAGAGAATGTAATAGACCATGGACTTAAGAATCAAACTCAGCTTTAAACAGTGGCTCAGCCACCTTCCCATTCTTTTATAACTCCTTGAGCAAGCTATGTAATGTCTCTGGCAAGGTTAATATTCACACTTTGTAAAGTAAGAATAAAAACTTCAGTTTGTACAGATAGATAATTCATAACAGCATGAGACCTTTCATAGTTTCTTTACATTACCTTCATCCTCTACTCCTTCCAAAGAAAGAGAGGATTTTATAGGTGGCAGTAGAGAAACAATATAGTGAAATATCTAGAATGATGACTTCCCATAACTGAAGTAGAGAGAGAAAATGGAAAATAAGGTAAACTGATAAAATTGAAGACCACCTAAAATGTTTGTGAACAGTAAAACTGTCAAATAGAGGAAGCAATGCCATCAAACAAGAGGAGAACATTCATTATCCAAGAGATTAATTATGCCACTGCAAATGCATCTTATTTCAGCAGAAGATGAATAAATCACCATTGTTTGGAGAAAGGGACCTGTAAACACTGGAAGTGAGGGGGGGTACCAACTGTCTTCCTGGGAGAACATGCTTGTGTTTCTTCTGATCTTCACTTCCTATTTCAGAAATGAAAAGACAAATAGGCCCTGCATGAGAATGATCAGAGAGCAGAGCTTCAGCCGTGGTTGAATCTTACTCATCCACATCTTCAAATTCTTGGAGGAGCCCTTCTTTAAGGGCACTTGAATTTAAATGAACATGGACCACCAGGGCAACTTTTAATGTGGGATGAAGCCATTGGAAGGCAGAAACTTTGGTGATAAATTCCAAATGGGAAGAAGGCTAGTCCCACTCACATTCCCTTCAGATATAGGAAGGGAGGCGTGAAGAGTTGACTTTCTGTACATGTTGTAAAGTGGAAATTTGTTTTTTTAAGTGTCAAGCCTCAAAACCATGAGTATTCTATCAAAGATAGTCCCCCATTTCTTGTGTATCCACCAACAAGAATCTGGATTTTACACAAGCTATGTCCCTCAAAGTGTTAAATATGATGCAATAATTTCATTCTCAATATTCTTATGGTCTACCTGGTACTTTCATGGGTTCTTATTTGTGCTGATTATTACATTTTATCTATTTCATACAATTATCAAGTTATTGACTACACTAAGAATACCTAAATTTTACCAGTGACCAGATCATAGCACTGAGAATTTTGTAATAAAAATATGTCTACATATAATTATTATATAAGACCTAACTTGTCAATGCCTAGATTCTAGAAAATAAAAGAAAATGAACATGATCAACCTATGGTGAACTGGCAGCTGTATTCTCCATACTATTGCCGTAATTAGTTTTAAAATGATAAGTATTTCTGCTAGAGCTGAAATCTTTGATAGAAAATCCCAGGGAGTAAAGTTTTTGGCATAGTCTCCAAATTTGAATTTATACTTCTTAATTTATCTATATGTGTAAATTCATAGTTCTGGCTCTTATACCATCCTGATATCTTTCTCAGGTGGGCTAATATTAAGATTGTTTGTAATAGTAAAACAAAACAAAACATCACAACGGCAGTGACACACTACCTTTAGAAAAATTTTTGGTCAATTATCAGGAGAGGCTCCCTTTACCTTCGGGGGCGTTACGTTGATTAATACATTTTATTTTACAAAGCAATAAATGAAAGATGAAAAAGTGCTAAGTTGATATCAGTTGGAAGAGGATTTCAAGCATATCTCTTGATTTCCTAGTCATTAAATTATACTTAGATATAGTCCACACTTAATACTACTGTTAGTAAAGTCTCTTTTTTAAATGTTTCAAATGTCTGAGCAGACTTCGTAACTACCTGTTCCTTAGGAGCAGAGAAAATAAGTGGCCTATCACCAGGTCTAAGTGAATGACTGTATACTACATACACTTTCAAGGAACAAGATGATGTAACTTTTTCTTTTTTACTTAGGGCACTCATAAATCTCTAACAGGACTATTACTACATAGCATGAATATTTTTTCATAACCTTCCCCAAATTAAATATATATGTAATGGTATTGAACATATCAAAATTTCTCTCTGTCTTTTTGCTGTACCATGTTTTCCTATTGACTCTTACAGATACTTGTTTATAGAGAAAAGATACATTGCCAAGCAGGTAAATGGTCAAAACCTGGCCTGCTGAGGCAGAAGTCCCCTATTGTCCCCAGGAAATACATGTTGTATTAGCTTAATCTCTTCTGACTTTCTGGCTTTGTGCTTTGTAAAGTAACTTGACAGTTTCATCAACATTGATTAGGACCTTAAATAATCTAGTCTTATTCTGTGTTTTGAGATTTATCTCCCATTATTCTGTTAATGACCACATTGTTTTCTAGGACTATTTAACTATTCTTCAAACATTTATATATTAACTGGAATTATCATCACTTCAACTTCACCTTACTTTTACATTTAAACCATAGTACAGTTTTGAGATGTACTTTATATTCCAGATGCACTATTCAAAGGTATTACAAATATTTAGTGAAAATGGGAAGTGGAAAAGCCTGACAATTTTTAAGGGCAAATGGAGATTGGTGGTTTCATTTTAAGAGATGTTATTATGGTATATTTAGTACTTTCAAAAGAACAGTGCATAAATGAAAAATGGGGCCAATGTAAATTTATACATTTAAAAAGACTTCCATATTAATCAGGTTAGTAGAATAAATGAGCAAAGTTAAGGAATATTTCTGACCCAGTATAGGTAATTCTGTCATGGCAGGATGCCTCACAATTCTTTAGTGGCAAAATTAGGTATTTTGTAGAAATAGTATAGGTTCTTCTCTTCGGCCCCAATTATTTTATAAAATCTGTAGCTCCTTACACAGTACAAAAAACAATTCAGAAGAGAAAGATACATAGACTTGAGGGAGAATATTTTCTTATCTATGACACATTATAAAAATGTAAATTAGATGGCAGATTATTGCTCAGAGACTGTAACTCTTACAAAGGAAATCAAAGTATACAGCATGCTCATATTTGAGAATGCATGGAAGGCTATTAAAATTTTAATATTTTAGCTTATGAGCTGCACACCAGCTTCAATATATTTAGAGAGCTTTGTCAGAATTAACTACCAGAGATATGAATATGTAGTGCATTATGTGAAGATGCAACATGGCAACTATGGTCACGGGGACACTTTTTCAATAGCTTTTTTTTCTTGGAGTTCTCCAGAGTTATGTTGCCTGATGGAGTTGCCAAGGAAAACAGAAGGACAGTGAGAAAATATTGCCATTGAATAGACTCTTGTGGGGTTTGTTACAACCCCTAAGAGACTTGGCATTCTTTCTGGCTTGCCCCTGGCTGATCAATGTCATGATAATGGCAGATGATGGAGATCCAATAAGTGGGAATAACAAATACATAGTAGGAAAATTTTCATGATCATCTACATATGGGACATTCTAAAATTTGCTGTCAGGTCTCAAAAGAATTAAGAGGTGGAAATAAAATACTATCCTTTCATTTATCCTGTTTCCTTTTCTGACCACCTAGCCCTATAAGCTTTGGAGATGTGAGTAAGTTAAGAAAAGTATATGAGGATAAAAATGAAGACATTATTTGTACTTAATCAAAAGCAGATCTTGAGCCTGCAGAATAAAACTGAACACTGGTTGAGCAATTTATCTGAAATATTCATCTTGCAATACATCACATCAACCAGGAAAGTGCACCTTTGATTTCAATTGAGCTTAAATGTGTCCTTTGGTTCAAGATATCCTTAGCTTCCTCATCCAAGGGCCTGCCTTTTCCACTTTTTTATGACTTAATATATCCTTTAAATCTATAATTGGTCTCACAGATTACTCGTGTTCTTAGAGATGAAAGGGTACGAGATAGAGAAGCAAATTAATAGGTGATAAGGATTTTTATCTGTTGCATTTTTTATTAATGACTTGGAAGCCAGTGAAGGATCTGGGATAAAAATGTTGGTGATTTTCTCCCTAGATCTGCCTTTCTTCCAGTGTGATTTTTCTCTATAATGTGTACCACCACTCTACCATTTGCATTTCCAAAAACCTCTGCTTCTCACATTTTTCTACATCTAATTCATCAGAAAATCCTGACATTTCTATCAACAAAGTCTACTCAAAGTCCCTCCACTTCTCAGCTCTAACTCTCCCCCTATCTTAGTCCACACCACCACTATCTCACCTTGATTACTGCTTCCTAACTAGTGTCCCTGTTTCTATTATTCCTCTACTTTTGTTCTTCTCACTCAAGTCCTTAGTTCATACCTGGTTTTGCTATCTTTTCTCTATCCTATCTCATTTCCAAACCCCTTATCTTCCCCCAGCACTCCAATAGTTGCCTTATTTGTTCTTCCTCAAGTATACAAAAACCTTTTCTGTTTTACAGTCCTTCCACTTTCTCTTCCATCTGCCTGGAATGTACTTCCACAGAATTTACAAGGTTGTTTTCTAACCCTGATTTCATGAAAGCCTCTGTTCAAAAGTTACTTTTTCAGAAAGGCCTTCCCTGGACACCCTGTTTAAAATAGCATTCCTGCTCTTTTCTATAGTGGCACCACTTTTTTATAATATTTATTACTTCTTGACATGTACATTATATATTGATTTATTATCTCTTTTCTCTACAAGAATGTATGTTTTATGTGTTTGGGGACATCTGTGTTTTGTATACTGCTATGCAACTAGCACAAATAATGTCATTTGCATGGTCTATATTGAATAAATAATTATTGAATAAATAACTGAATGGTTACTTCTGGGGGAATGTTGAAATCATGTACTGGTTCCTACCTCATCTTAATGCAGGATCCACCAACTACAGGATCAGTTTGTCATTTTGTCCAAGTTTCTCGTAAGCATAATCAGAAATCAGATTTTTTTTGCCCTTTGAATTTTACTGTCATAAACAGAAAAAAATAAGAATTAATATTTTAAAAATAACACATCGCTAATCTTACTGAAAATCTGAGACCACAATTATCTCATCTCCTCCTTTTCTTTTTTCTGTAGAGGATATGTGACTGAGAAAATGACAGATAGCTCACTGATAGAATTACTTAGTACTTCCTAAATCAAGATTAATTTTTATACCAGGCATCAGTAGTCTATGTGGCTCTGGGGATTAAGCTGAGCATTCAGCTTTTATTTCTGGACCTCTCATGGGTTTGTTGGGTGACCTTTGGACAGTTAATGAGTTACCAGTGTTGACAAGGTTATGGTAAAGATTGATGATATGAACTCTATGAATGGCTCAGAACCCTTGGAGAAAACTATATGGCATTTTCTGTCTTATATTTAATGACTTTATTTTATTAAATTACCTGGGAGAGATAAATCCACTTCCATCAATGACAGAGTATCTTCTATCAGACAAATATCCTTGTTGTCAACTACTCTAAAAGCTATAGAAAATTAATCTTACAAAATAACTCTTTGATATCATCATTTGAGGAGCCAAACAATTCAGAATTTGGAGGATCAATATCTTAGAGGGTAAAGTAACATATTTATGTGAGTCCAGAATCCTCTATCACTTTTGCATTTGAGACATTTGTTGATTTTTAACGTGTGAATACTGATAGCCAACTTGCAAATTCGAAGCTAAAAATATAAGTAAGGCTTTTTATAGTCTTATGTCACTAGAGTAAAAAAGTAATTAGGTTTCAGGGCCAACTAGGAATGAGGGGACTTGATTAACATTCCAGAGTTTGAGCTGTGATGAAGTCCACACCCTAGGAAAGAGAACAAATCAAAATTTTAAAAAAGCAGTCAAAATATGCTTAAATCTTCCCTCAAACAATTTCATTTCTTAATTAGCATTGTGTTGATTGTTTCTACTGTAACTACCTGCCAAACAAAAGTGAATTTTATCTGAAGGAAGAGAATATAGTACAGAATTACTGCAAGTTTATAAATACAATATTGAATTCCATGAAAATTGCCAAATATGCCAGTAGGTAAGACCAGATGACCTTAAACCAAGAGATAGACACTGAGATGGAACCTACAGATGATCCAGATAGTCGAATTATAGCAAGATAAGGGCTTTATATATTTACATAGAGGTCTTTTATTAGAGACATGATTTGGAAGTGTTTTCTACTTATCAATGGCTTATCCTTTATTCATATAACAGTATCTTTTAAAAAATAAAAGAATGACGCTCTATCAATTTTATTTTTTATTGATTTTATTTATGTATTATTTAAGAAATCCTTGCTTAAGTCTAGATTACAATTTTTTCCTATAGTAACTTTCAGAAATTTTACAGTTTTAGGTATGAATTTTAAATCTATTATCTATTTTGCATAATTTTTGTATATGATATGCGATATATATCAAAGCTCATCATATATTTGAGCACCACTTGGGAAAAAACTACTCTTTCTCCATTAATTGTCTTTGTGCCTCTGAGAAAAATCAGTTGTTCATACATGTGGAGATCTCTTCTGTGCTCTCTATTCTGTTCCATTGACTTATATAAAAAACGCATGCTATTAACTATTGTATCTTTATACGTCTTGACATCAATTAGTGATAGTTTTCCCAATTTGCTCTTTTTCAAAGTTATTCTAGATATTCTCAGCCCTTTTTAGTTTTACATGAAGTTTAGAATCAGCTAATTTTTTTTATTATACTTTAAGTTTTAGGGTACATGTGCACAACCTGCAGGTTAGTTACATATGTATACATGTGCCATGTTGGTGTGCTGCACCCATTAACTTGTCATTTAACATTACTTATATCTCGTCATGCTATCCCTTCCCCCTCCCCCGACCCCACAACAAGCCCCGGTGTGTGATGTTCCCCTTCCTGTGTCCATGTGTTCTCATTGTTCAATTCCCACCTATGAGTGAGAACATGCACTGTTTGGTTTTTTGTCCTTGTGATAGTTTGCTGAGAATGATGGTTTCCAGCTTCATCCGTGTCCCTACAAAGGACATGAACTCATCATTTTTTATGGCTGCATAGTGTTCCGTGGTGTATATGTGCCACATTTTCTTAATCCAGTCTATCATTGTTGGACATTTGGGTTGGTTCCAAGTCTTTGCTATTGTGAATAGTGCCGCAATAAACATACGTGTGCATGTGTCTTTATAGCAGCATGATTTATAATCCTTTGGGTATATACCCAGTAATGGGATGGCTGGGTCAAATGGTATTTCTAGTTCTAGATCCCTGAGGAATCGCCACACTGACTTCCACAATGATTGAACTAGTTCACAGTCCCACCAACAGTGTAAAAGTGTTCCTATTTGTCCACATCCTCTCCAGCACCTGTTGTTTCCTGACCTTTTAAAGATCGCCATTCTAACTGGTGTGAGATGGTATCTCATTGTGATTTTGATTTGCATTTCTCTGATGGCCAGTGATGATGAGCATTTTTTCATGTGTCTTTTGGCTGCACAAATGTCTTCTTTTGAGAAGTGTCTGTTCATATCCTTTGCCCACTTTTTGATGAGGTTGTTTGTTTTTTTCTTGTAACTTTATTTGAGTTCATTGTAGATTCTGGATATTAGCCCTTTGTCAGATGAGTAGATAGCAAAAATTTTCTCCCATTCTATAGGTTGCCTGTTCACTCTGATGGTAGTTTGTTTTGCTGTGCAGAAGCTCTTTAGCTTAATTAGATCTCATGTGTCAATTTTGGCTTTTGTTGCCATTGCTTTTGGTGTTTTAAACATGAAGTCCTTGCCCATGCCTATGTCCTGAATAGTACTGCCTAGGTTTCCTTCTAGGGTATTTATGGTTTTAGGTCTAATATTTAAGTCTTTAATCCATCTTGAAGAATCAGCTAATTTATGGAAAAAAAAGCTTGCTTGCATTTGTTTGAGATTATATTAATCTATGTCTATTTGGAGAGGAATCAATACATTGAAAATATTGAGTCTTTCAAATCATAAACATGGTATATCTTTTTATTTAGTTTTTTTAACTTTGTAATAACTTTTTATTCTTCAGTGTACAAATCTTGCACATATTTTTTTCAGATTTATCATTAAGTATTGAGTATTTTATGATGATATCATATGTGATGATTTTAAAATTTCAAATTTGATTGCATACTGCTAATATGTAGAGATAAAAATGAATGTTGTATATTGATCTTGTATTATATAAGCTTTCAAAACTCACTCATTTTAGTTCTAATAGTTTTTCAAATAGAAAATGGGGAAAATATTGGAACAGGCGCTTTGCCGAAGAAGATACGTACATGGCAAATAAACACATGAGAAGATGCTGAAAGTTATTAGTACTTAGACAATTCCAAATTAAAAGGAAATAGCTATTAGATTGGCTAAAATTAAAAAGAGTGAGCAAGACTATGGAACAACTGGAGCTCTCATATACTGTTGTTGAGAATGTAGTAGGAATGTCACCATTACTTTGAAAAATAATTTAGCAGCTTCTTAAAATGTTATATATTTATCTACTATCTTAGTCCATTTTCGTTGCTGTAAAGAAATACATGAGGCTGGGTAATTTACAAAGAAAGGAAGTTTATTTGGCTTATAATCCTATAGATGGTAAAATAGGCATGGTGCCCGTATCTGCTTCTGGTGAGAGCTTCAGGAAACTTTTGATCATGGTGGAAGGTGAAGAGGATCAGGGATCACATGATAAGAGGAAGGAAGGGTGAGAAAGGGGCGGGGTGGGGGGGGGAAGGGTGCCACACTGTTCGAAACAAACAGCTTGCATGTGAACAAATAGAGGAAGAAGCCACTCATCACTGTGATCATAGCAAGCTGTTTTTATTGAGAGATCTGCCTCCATAACCAAAACACCTCCCACCTTGGCCCACCTTTAACGTTGGGGTCCATATTTCACCATAAGATTTGGAGGGGACAAATATCCAAACTGTATTATCTACTATATGATTAAACAATTTCTATCCTAGGTATTTACCCAAGAGGAAAGAAGTCAAATGCTAATTATAAACACAAAAGCAAAACTTGTGTGCAAATGTCTAAGCAACCCAAATGATCATCGTATGGTAAATGGATAAGCATATTTTAGTATATTCATACAATGAACTATTAATCAAAAATAAAAACAAAACAGTACACTATTCACGATTCCATTTTTATAAAATTTTTAGAATATGCAAACCAATCTATAGTAACAGCAGATCTGGTGGCTTCAGAAACTTTTAGGAATTATTAATATGCTGATTGTCTTGAGTATGGGATTATTTTCACAGATACATGTGCATGTCAAATTGTATATTTTTGAATCCTTTAATATTTGCAGTTGCAATGTATTGCGTATCACTAATGACTACATAGAATGGTTCAAAAATATAAGAAAGCAATACATATAAAAACCATTATAATTCTGATTAACATATACAAGTAAATAAGTGACAAGTAGGATAATTGAATTATAAAGCATAACCTATAAAATAATCAAAAAGAACTTTAGAATTAAAAAAATAACATATCAATAACTCAATATCTGGGTTTACAGCAAATGAGCAGCAACTAAAGAAAGGATTAAGAAACTTTTGTAGAAACTATCCTGGCTGGAGTACAAGCAACTGAAGAAAGGAGGAAGAGGAGGAAGAGGAAACAAGGAAGGAGGAGAAGAGCATGAGAGACATATGGAAAATGGTAAGATAACTTACTTACATATAATTAGAATCTCTGAAAGAGAGGCAAGACAGGGCCAAACCATTAGGTAAAGATATAGTGGCTGCGAAGTTTTAAAAATGAACAATAGACATAAATACACAAATTCAAAGCATTTTACAACACAAACTCAAATAAATGTAATAAAAGCCACATGTAAGCACCTCATAGTTAAATTATTAAATCTAAGAAAAGTAGGTAAGAGCCCATGAAGTTTGGAAGTATAAGAATAAACATGATGGCCGGGTGCAGTGGCTCATGCCTGTAATCCCCACACTTTGGGAGGCCAAGACGGGTGGATCATGAGGTCAGTAGGTCGCGACCATCCTCGCCAGCATGGTGAAACCCCTTCTCTAATAAGAATATGAAAATTAGCTGGGTGTGGTGGCACACACCCGTAATTCCAGCTACTTGGGGGGCTAAGGCATGAGAATCGCTTGAACCCAGGAGGTAGAGGTTGTGGTGAGCTGAGATCGTGCCACTGTACTCCAGCCTGGAGACAGAGTGAGATTCCCTCTCAGAATAAACATGATGTGAAAATTTATTACCAAGAAATTAAAATGATTACAAATAGAGTTTAGCTCAAGAGCATGAATGAAAATAATATATCATGGTATAAGAGTCAAGCCACAGGGAAGACAGCTATTACAAATTTATGTGTACTTCATAGCATGGCCTTAGAATATGTAACACAGTATGTATTGCTATAAAAGAAGATAAAATACAATGGGAAATCATAATGTAAGAGTGGATTAAGAATTAAAATTAAAGGCATTTTATTATATTAGTTGAAAAAAGAAATTAAAAATAATTATGTCCAGATAGAAAAAATATATACAAATAACATCCATCACAATTAAAACTATTGATGTCTATTAATATAATTGCCTTATTCTGGTAAAGATTATGTATAACAAACTTGGAGAAAATGTTATTCTTAAAGGTTAATGTTGGCAGTTTTACCTCTGTAATCAAGAAACACACACAGAGGCCCAATATTATCACTCCTATTAAGCATTGAAAAGAAGATATGAAAGTATCTCTGTTTTTTTTTTTTTTTTGATTTGGGAGCAGTAATAGTATTGGTTTAGGATGTGGAATAACTGGAACTATCCTACATTGCTGGTGGGATTTTAAGTTGATTCAACCATTTTGGAAAATTGTGTGGCAGTAGACACTACAGCAGAGTATAAGCAAACCCTGTTACCCAGTATTTCTTCCCACATAACAGAAATATGTAAATGTATGCAACAAAGGCCACACACAAGTATACTCACAGAAGCACAATTAATAATAATCACAATTAGAAACAATTCAAATTTCCATCTATAGTAAAATAAATACCTTTTAGTTTATACCATGGAATACAAAATAGCAACAAAAATGCAAACTAATGGTAATATAAAAACATGAATTAACCTCTAAACATAATGTTGAAATAATGAATTGTTAAACAGTGTTACACATTATATGATTTTATTTACATAAAATCAACAAATAGGCAGAATTAATCCATTGTGATAATAGTCAAGAGTGAAAGTGATGTCACCAAAATGGCATAGTAGAATCAACCTGAGTTCATGGTCCTTACAGAAAACAAAACAAAATGAAAAAAACACAGCACCAAGCTTATCATCAGCAATATCCAGAACTGAGATCAAACACTGAGACAATCCCTAAGCACACCGAAAATTGAAAGACTCTGAGAAGATGGTAAAAGAAATGACCTTCTCTATCCAAGTAAAGCCTTCCCCAATCTGCCAAGCACCACATGCAGGAAATTCCCACTGAACTCAGAGTTGTTTTACTGGAAAAAATGAGATTGAGGCAGACATCCAGCTTTCTCACTATCTTAGGTTCACATTCAGGAACCTGCCTTAACCCATGAAAAGCACTGCAGGTGCATGTAGAAAGAAAAAACTCTGAGAGCATTTCTAGGCAAAGAGGGGTGGTAGGACTAGAAAGCTCAGCCTCTGACAAACTGTGCTCTTTATTTCAGTCAAAGGAGATGGCAAATCAAAGTAGATATTAAGCAGCACCATCCTGTAGGAGGCACACTCATGAGTCTTCTGTGCATGAACCCCTAGCCAGCCATCTTACACAGCTGGGCTATCTGCTTTGCCCACCCCCACTCCAATTAAGGATGGGGAGCGCTCTGAATGTTTATGAGAGCTGAGGCAAATTTGGGCTTAAGGCACAAGCTAGTGCTGAAAAGAAGCAGAGATCTAGGATAAAGGGGACTCAAAAGGCAACTGCAAAGACCTCTAAGCAACTATGCCCTAGAAAGACCAAAACAAGCCAGACAGCAAAGGCTGGAATAAATAACTAATTATTCAATGTGAAGCAACAGCTATACATAACAGCAAACAGAAACCCATGATCACCCCAATGGACAAAATAAGGAGGCAGTGATCAACCCTAATGAGATTATGATTTGTGAGCATCTAAATCAGTAATTCAAAATAGCAATTCTAAGGAAAGTCAGCAAACTTCAATATAACACAAAAAAGCAATGCAAAAATGTATTGAAATTTAACAAAGATATTAAAATAATTTATACAAATCAAACAGAAGTCTTGGAACTAAGGAATACATTTGCGGAATAAAAAAATGCATTAGAGGCTCTCAATAGCAGAATGGATTCAAGTAGAGAAAAGAACCAGTGAGTTCAAAGACAGGCTGTTTGAAAAGATACAGTCAGGGGAAAAAAAGAATAAAAAAATCTGACAGGATATAGAAAATAATATCAAAGTATAAATCTAAGTCATTCATGTTCAAGAGGGAGGTGAGAAAAAGCAAGAGGCAGAAAACGTATTCAAAAATATGATAATATAAAACACTCCAAACCTAGAAAAATATATATAAATCTAGGCATGGCGAGGTTAGATGTCACCAAACAGATTCAACAGAAGACTATCCCAAGGTATATAATAATCAAATGCTCAAAGGTCAAGAACAAAGAGAGGATCTTAAAACAGCAAAAATAAAAGAAGCAAATAACACATAAAGGGAGATCTGCTTTGTTTGGCCACATACTTCCCAGAGGAACCCATGAAGGAAAGGAGGGAGAGAAGGTATATGGAAAGTGCTGGAAAAAATCTTAACTGTCAACTGAGAACACTATGCCCAGCAAAGATTTTCTTCAAACATTAAGGAGAGAAAAAATTTTTCCCAGAAAATCAAAAGCTGGGGGGAAAAATCATCACTAGATCTGTCTTACAGAAATGCTAAAGGAAGTTCTTCAACCTGAATCAAAAGAGCACTAATGTGGAAAAAGAAAACATTTGAAGATGTAAAACTCACTGATAAAAGTAAGTACACAAAAAAATTCAGAACACTCTAATATTGTAATTGTGTGTGATCCACTTATATCTCCAGTCTGAAGACTAAAAGACAAATCTATCAAAACTAATAACATTTACAGAAGCCTGTTAAGTGATAGACAATATAAAAAATGTAAATTGAGACCATAAGAAATCAAAATGTTGGCGGATAGAGTTACAGTGTAGAGTATTTCAGTTCTTTCTCTTTTTTTGTTTCTTTTTTTTCTTAATGGTCAAAATTGTCTGTTTACAATAACTGTTTATATCTTTAAGATATTTTTGTAAGCCTCATGATAACCACAAAGCAAAACCCTATCATAGATACACCAAAAATAAAATGCAACACATTTAAAAATATTATCAAAGAAAATTACGTAACCACAAAGGAAGACAGTAAGTAAGGTGGAAAAAAGGAAAAGAGAAGTTACAAATCAACCAAAAAACAAGTAACAATATGACAGTAGTACCTCCTTAGCTCTCAACAATAACACTGAAAGTAAATAGACTGAATTCTCCAATTAAGTGGCATAGAGTGGTCAAATAACAAGAGCAATAAAAACAAAAACAATTTAACCATATGCTACCTGCAGGAAATTCACTTTACCTGTAAAGACATACCTAAACTGAGAGTAAAGGGATGGAAAAAGATATTCTATGCAAATGGCAACATAGAAGATTAGGAGTAGCTATATCTATATGAGATAAACAGATTTTAAGTCTAAAACATTAAAAAGAAACAAAGAATGTCATTATATAATGATAATGTGTTAAATTCAGCAAGAGGATATAACAAGTCTAAATGTATATGCATTCAACATTAGAGCACCCAGATATATAAAGCAAATATTTTTAGATCTAAAAGGAGGGATAGACTCCAATACAATAATATTTGAGAGCCTGAACATCCCATTCTTTGCATCAGATAGATCATTGAGACAGAAAATTAGCAAAGAAACATCAGAATTAAACTACACTATAGACCTTTACAGGACCTAACTGACATTTACAGAAAATTTTATCCAACTGCTTCAAGAGTATACATTTTTCGCATCATTATATGATAGAATCTCCAGGATAGACCATATGTAAATACACAAAGTAAGTCTCAACAAATTCAGAAAAGTTAAAATCATATCAAATATCTTTTCCAACCACAATGGAATGGAATAAAACTAGAAAACAATAGCAAGAGGAACTTTGGAAACTACAAACACATAAAATTAAATAACATGCTCTTAATGAATCACTGGATCAATAAAGAAATTATGGTGAGGTGTGGTGGCTCATGCCTGTAATCCCAGCACTTTGGGAGGCCGAGGTGGGAGGATTGCTTGAGCCTAGGAGTTTGAGACTAGCCTGGGCAACATAGTGAGACCCCATCTCTATGAAAAATAAAATAATTAGCCAGGTGTGTTGGCACATATCTGTAGTTCCAGCTACTCGGGGAGTGAGGTGAGAGAATCACATTAGCCCTGGCTCATTGTTAAAGAAAATTTTAGAATTTCTTGAACAAAATGAAAATGAAGATACAACATATCAAAATCTATGCCATACAACAAAAGCAGTGCTAAAAAGAAAGTGTACAACAATAAATAGACTTACATCAAAAAAGTAGAAAGACTTCAAATAAACAAGTTAATGATGCACCTCAAGGAACTAAAAAAGCAAGAAGAAACCAAAGCCAAAATTGGTGGAAGGAAATAAGCAAAAAAAAAAAAAAAAAAAAAAAAAAAAGAGCAGAAATGAACACAATTGAGACAAATAAATACAAAAGAGCAATAAAAAAATTTTGTAAAGATAATAAACATAGTTTCCAAGAAAAAAAGAGAACAGCCCCAAATAAATAAATTCCAAAATAAAAAGGAATACATAACAACTAATAACACAGAAATTCAAAGGGTTACTAGAGAACATTATAAACACCTATGCACAAATTGGAAAACTTAGAAGAAACAAATGAATTCATGGATATACCAAATCTACCAAGACTGACCCATAACAAAATAGAAAACTGGAGCAATCAACAATGAGTAATAGGATCCAAGCAGTAACCCAATGTCCTCCATCAAAGAAAAGCCCAGGACATGATGATTTCACTGCCTAATTTTCCCAAAGATTAAAAACCAATGCCAATTCTACTCAAACTATTCCAAAAAAGTGAAGAAGAAGAAGAAGAAGAAGAAGAAGAAGAAGAAGAAGAAGAAGAAGAAGAAGAAGAAGGAAGAAGAAGAAGAAGAAGGAAGAAGAAGAAGAAGAAGAAGAAGAAGAAGAAGAAGAAGAAGAAGAAGAAGAAGAGGAAGAAGAAGAAGAAGGAATACTTTCAAACTTATTCTGCATGGCTAGTATTATGCTGATATGAAAACCAGACAAGGAAACAACAACAACTACAGGCCAAACCCTGAGGAAATTAGATGTAAAAATTCTTGACAACATACTATCAAACCAAATTTAATAACACATTAAAAAGTTATTCACCATGATAAAGTGAAATTCATCGCAGAGATGCAAGCATGGTTCAACATATTCTAGTCAATAAACGTGCTACATCACATTAATGAGAACAAAAGCTGTATGATCATTTTGATAGATGCTGGAAAAACATTCAACATAATTTAGCATCTCTTTATGATAAAAACTCACTTCACAATCTATACATCTGACAAAGTACTAAGATCCAGAATCTACAATCAACTCAAACAAATTAACAAGAAAAAAACAAACAGTCCCATCAAAAAGTGGGCTAAAGACATGAATAGACAGTTCTCAAAAGAAACTATATAAATGGCCAACAAGAATATGAAAAAAATGCTCAAACTCACTAATCAGGAAAATTCAAAACCACAATGTGATACTACCTTACTCCTACAAGAATGGTCATAATCAAAAAATTAAAAAAATAGGCCAGGTGTGGTGGCTTATGTGTAATCCCAGCACTTTGGGAGGCTGAGGTGGGCTAATTAATTGAGGTGAGGAGTTTGAGACCAGCCTGACCAACATGGTGAAACCCTGTCTCTACTAAAATACAAACATTAGCCAGGTGTGGTGGTAGGTGCCTGTAATCCCAGCTACTCAGGAGACTGAGGCAGGAGAATTGCTTGAACCTTGGAGGTGGAGGTTGCAGTGAGCCAAGATGGCACCACTGCACTCCAGACTGGGCGGAAGAGCGAGACTCCTTCTCAAAAAAAAAAAAAAAAAAAAAAAGAAAGAAAAAGAAAAAAAGGCCAGGCGCGGTGGCTCAGGCCTGTAATCCCAGCACTTTGGGAGGCTAAGATGGGTGGATCATGAGGTCAGGAGATCAAGACCATCCTGGCTAACACGGTGAAACCCCATCTCTACTAAAAATACAAAAAATTAGCTGGGCATGGTGGCAGGAGCCTGTAGTCCCAGCTACTTGGGAGGCTGAGGCAAGAGAATGGCATGAACCTGGGAGGTGGAGCTTGCAGTGAGCTGAGATTGCACCACTGCACTCCAGCCTGGGCAACAGCGAGACTCCGTCTCAAAACAAACAAACAAAAAACAAAACAAAATAAAAAAAAAAAACAAACATGTTGGCGTGGATGTGGAGAAAAGGGAACACTTCTACACTGCTGGTGGAGATGTAAACTAGTACAACCACTATGGAAAACAGTGTGGAGATTCCTCAAAGCACTAAAAGTAGAACCTCCGTTTGATTCAGCAATCCCACTACTGGGTATCTACCCAGAGGAAAATGTCATTGTACGAAAAAGATACTTGCTTAATCATGTTTATAACAGCACAATTCACAACTGAAAAAATGTGAAACCAGCCAAAATGCCCATCAAACAGTGAGTGGATAAAGAAACTGTGATTATATATATATATGTATGTATGTATGTGTGTGTGTGTGTGTGTGTGTGTGTGTATATATATATATATATGATGGAATACTACTCAGCCATAAAAGAATGAATTGATGGCACTTGCAGCAACCTGGATGGGATTGGAAACTATAATTCTAAGTGAAGTAACTTAGGAATGGAAAAGCAAACATTGCATGTTCTCATAAGTGGAAGCTAAGCTATGAGGATGCAAAGGCATGAGAATGATACAATCGACTTTGGGGACTCAAGGGGAAAGGTTGGGAAGGGGGTGAGGGATAAAATACTACAAGTTGGGTTCAGTGTACACTTCTCAGGAAATGGGTGCACCAAAATCTCACAAATCACCACTAAAGAACTTACTCATGTAACCAAATACCACCTGTTCTCCAATAACCTGTGATAAAAAAATTCTTAAAACAAAAAACAGCCTAAGCATAGGCTGGGTACAGTGGCTCACTCCTGTAATTCCAGCACTTTTGGAGGCCGAACTGGGAGGATCACTTGAGCTCAGGAGTTAGAGACCACCCTGGCCACACAGTGTGACTCTGTCTCCACGAAAACAAAAATAATTCACTGAGTATAAGCAAGCAAACAAATTTAACTGGGTATAGAAGGAACATACCTTAAAACAATAAAGGCCATATATGACTAGTTCATAGCTGACACCATACTAAATGTAGTAAAGTTGAAAGCTTTTCCTTTAAGATCTGAAACAAGACAAGGATGATCAGTTTTACCACTTTTATTCAATATGGTACTGGACGTACTAGCTATAGGAATTAGGCAAGAAAAAGAAATGAAAGGCAACAGAATTGGAAAAGAAAAAGTCAAATTAGGCCAGTCCTGGTGGCTCATGCCTGTAATTCTAGCACTTTGGGAGGCCAAGGTGGGAGGATCACTTGAGCTCAGGAGTTTGCGGCCAGCCTGGAAAACATAGTGAGACATCGTCTCCATTAAAAAAAAAAAAAGGAAACATATGTAGAAAAAGTCCAATTATTCTTGGGCATGCATGACATACTATATTTAGCAAAACATAAAGATTCCACCAAAAATCTCTTAGAACTGATAAATAAACTCATTAAGGTTGCTGCATACAAAGTCAGTACACAGAAGACAGTAGCACATGTATGTACCAGTAATAAACTAGCTGAGAAAAAATCAAGAAGGAAATTCCATTTGTAATAGCTACAAAAAAAAAAAGCTCTAGGAATAAATTTAACTGAGGTGAAAGATCTCAAGGAAAGGTACGAAACAATGATGAAAAAGAATTCAAGAGGACACAAACAAATGCAAAGACATCCTATGCTCATGGATCAGAATGATTAATACAGTTAAAATGTCTATACTACAATAAAAATTCTGTAGACTTAATGACATTCCCATGAAAACATAAATGATGTTCTTCACAGAAATAAAACAAAAAAGTCCTAATATTTGTATGGAACCACAAAAGACCCTAAATAGCTAATACAATTCTGAGCAAAAAATAACAAAGCTGGAGTTACCACACTACCTGACTTTAAAATATACTACAAAGCCATAGCAACAGAAACAGCATAGCGCTAACATAAAAGCAAACATATAGAGCAATGAAACAGAATACAGAACCCATAAATAAATGCATGAATTTATAGCAAACTCAATGTTGACAGGGGTACCACAAATATACATTGAAAAGGGGGCAGTCTTTTCAACAAAAGGTGCTGGGAACTGTGGGTAGTCATATACAGAAGATTTAAGCTAGATCTCTATCTCTCACCATATTACAAGTCAAATGAAATCAAAATGGAATAAAAGTTTAAATGTATGACCTACCACCATGAAACCTCGAGAGAGAACCATTGGGGTAATGATTCATAACATTGGTCTAAGCAAAGACTTTTTTTAGGTAGGACTTCAGAAGCACAGACACCAAAGGCTATAATAGATAAATGGGACTATATTAAACTAAAAAGCTTCTGCACAACAAATAAAACAATAAACAAAGTGAAAAGACAACCTACAGAAGTTAAGAAAACATTTGCAAATTATTCATCCAACAAAGTATTAATAATCAGAATATATAAGGAACTCAAACAACTCAAAAGCAAAAAGTAAAAAAAAAAAATCTGATTTTAATGGCCAAATATCTGGATAGACATTTCTCAAAAGAAGAAATGCAAATGACCAACAGGTATATGAAAAACTGCTCAATATCAATAATCATTAGGAAAATGCAAATTCAAGTCACAAGAAGATATTATCTCCCTCTAGGTAAAATGACCTTTATCAAAAAGACAGGGAATAACAGAAGCTGGCAAGGATGTGGAGAAAGGGGAATTTTGTAACACTGTTGGTGGGAATGTAAATTAGTACATCCACTATGGAAAACATTATGGAGGTTTTTCAAGAAATAAAAATAAACTACCATATAATCTAGCAACTCCACTACTAGATAAATATCCAAAAGAGAGTAAATTAGTATATCAAAGAGATATTTACACTCCCATGTTTATTACAGCACTATTCTCAATAGCTAAGATAAGAAATCAATCTAAGTGTCAATTAATGAATGAAAGAATAAAGGAAATGTGGCACATATTCACAATGCAATATTGTTCAACCATAAAAAAGAATAAAATCCTGCCAATTGCAGTTACTTGGATGGAACTGGAGGTCATTATGTTAAGTGAAATAAGCCAGACACAGAAAGATAAATATCACATGTTTTTACTTATATGTGGAAGCTACAAAAGTGGATTTCATGGAGATAGAAGAGTTGACTAGTGGTTATTAGAGACTGAGAAGAATCAAAGATATAGTAGGATGAAGAGAGGTTGGTAAGTGGGTACAAAAATATAGTTATATAGAAATAATAAGAGCCAGCATTTGATAGTACAGTAGGGTGACTATAGTTAAAAATCATTTTTTGTACAGTTCAAAATGGATGGATAAGAGAAATTGAAATGTTTCCAACATAAAGAAGAGGGAATATTTGAGTTGATGAATGTTCCAATTGCTCTGGCTTTATCATTACCCCTTGTATGCATGTATCAAAATATCACATCTACCTCAAAAACAGGTACCACTATATGTATCAATAAAAAATAAAATAGGAATATTTGCACCATCTGATTTTAACACATAAACCTACAGTAATTAAGATAATATAATATTTGGATAAAAGTAGATCGATGGAACAAAATACAGTCAAGACATTGACCAACTTACATATTGCCATATGATATGGTTTGGCTGTGTGTCCCCACCCAAATCTCATCTCAAATTGTAATCCCCAAGTGTTGAAGGAGGGACCTGGTGGGAGGTGATTGCATCATGGTGGTGGTTTCTCCTATGCTGTTCTTGTGATATTGAAGGAGTTCTCATGAGACGTGATGATTTTTAAAGTGGCAGTTTCCCCTGTGCTCTCTCTCTCTCCTGTCACCATGTAAGATGTGCCTTACTTCCCCTTCCCCTTCTGCCATTATTGTAAGTTTCCTGAGGCCTCCCCAGCCATGCAGAACTGTGAGTCAATTAAACCTCCTTTATTTATAAATTACCCAGTCTCAGGTAGTATCTTTATAGCAGTGTGAGAACAAAGTAATACAGAAAATTGCTATCAGGAGTGGGGTGCTACTATAATGATAACCTGAAAATGTGGAAGCAACTTTGGAACTGGGTAACAGGCAGAGGTCGGAACAGTTTGGAGGGCTCAGAGGAAGACAGAAAAATGTGAGAAAATTTAGAACTTCCTAGAGACTTGTTGAATGGTAGTGTCAAAAATGCTGATAGTGATATAGGCAATGAAGTCCAGGCTGAGGTGGTCTCAGTTGGATATTAAAAACTTATTGGAAACCAAAGCAAAGGTCACTCTTGCTATGCTTTAGCAAAGAAACTGGTGACATTTTGCCCCTACCCTAAAGATCTGTGGAAGTTTGAACTTAAGAAAGATTATTTAGGGTATCTGGCAGAATAAATTTCTAAGCAGCAAAATATTCAAGACGTGACCCAGCTTTTCCTGAAAGTACAGTTATATGTGTTCACTAAGGGATGGTTTGAAATTGGAACCTATGTTTAAAGGGGAAGCAGAGCATAAACGATTGGAAAATTTCGAGCCTGACGATGAGGTATTATAGAAAAAAAATTCTGTGGAAAAATTCAGGCAGGCTACAGAAATTTGACTAAGTAACAAGGAGACAAATGTTAATAGTCAGGACATTGGGGAGACGTCTCTGGGGCATGTCAGAGATCTTTGTTGCAGCCCCTCCCATTACAAGACCCAATGCCTTAAAGGGTAAAATGGTTTCATGATCCAGGCTCTGGGCCCTGCTGCTCTGTGCAGCCTCAGGACTAGGGGCCCTGCATCCCAGCCACTCCAGCTCCAGTGGCTAAAAGAGGCCAAGGTACAGCTTAGACCATCACTTCAGAAGATGCAAGCCCCAAGCCTTGGCAGCTTCCATGTTGGGTTGGGCCTGTGGATGCACAGAAGACAAGAATTGAGCTTTAGGAACCTCCACCTAGATTTCAGAGGATGTGTGGAAATCCCTGGATATCCAGGCAGAAGTCTGCTGCAGAGCAAGAGCCCTCATGGAGAACTTCTACTAGGACAATGCAGAGGGGAAATGTGGGGTTGGAGCTCCCACACAGGGTCCTCACTTGGGCACTGCCTAATGGAGGTTTGAAAAGAGGGTCACCAGCCTTCAGACCCCAGAATTGTACATCCACTGACTGCTTGCAACATGCACCTGGAAAAGTCTCAGGCACTCAATGCCAGCTCATAAAAGCAGCTGTGGGGGCTGTACCCTGCAGAGCGAAAGAGTTAGAGCTACCCAAGACCATGGGAGCCTACCCCTTGCATCAGTTTGCTCTGACTGTGAGATACGGAGTCAAAGGAAATTTTGGAGCTTTAAAATTTAATTACCGCCCTACTAGGTTGTGGATTTGCATGGGGCTTGTGGCCCCTGTGTTTTGGTCAACTTCTTTCATTTGCAATGGAAAGATTTACCTAATGCCTGTACCCCAGTTGGAACTTGGAAGTTACTAATTTGTTTTTTATTTTACAGGCTCATAGACAGAAGGGATTTTCCTTGCTCAGATGAGACTTTGGACTTGGACTTTTTAGTTAATGCTGGAATGTGTTAAGACTTTGTGAGACTGTTGGTTCCTCTAAATTTTCCAAACTTTTATTTTCTGCTTCCCCTTTAAACATAAGTTCCAATTTCCAGTCAGCCAGTGACCAGGGCTAAGAAGTTGTCCCAGACCATGAGACTCCCACTGAGAAAGCAAGCAGACTCACAGTTTTTTGGGATCTCTGAGATCCTTCAGTGGCAATCCAGTTCCTTCAAAGGGTCTGTGGATTCTCTTAGCTTTCCTGGTATGTTCCTGAAGTAGTTCTTGGAGCAAAAATTCACGATGTGAGTCTCTACATGCTGCTCTGTCTGTCTGGGTGAAAGCTGCTCCTAGCTAGTCCTGCTTCTGTCTGTCATCTTAATCTGCCACTGAGCCTTGAATCGTAATTTCTCTCTTACACCACATATAAAATTAACTCAAAATGGATCATAAACTTAAATTTAAAAATGAAAACTTTAAAACCCTTAGAAGTAGATATAAGAGATCATCTTTATGAACTGGAAGCCAGGCAGAAGTTTCTTAAATGCATAAAGCACTTAAGTAAGTTAATCTCTTAAACTAGATAGCAGAATAGTGGTAAGTAGTAGCTGGGAAGGGTAGCAGAGAAAGCGGATAAAAAGAGATTGGTTAACAGATACAAAATTACAACTAGTTATTAGGAATAAGTTCTAGTGTTCTATAGCATTGTAGGGTCTCTATAGTTAAAAATAATTTATTCTATATTTTCAAAAAAGCTCAAAAAGCCAGAAGAAAGATTTTGAATGTCCAGGCACAAAGAAATGATCAATGTTTAAGGTGATAGATATGTTAATTACTCTGATTTGATCATTATGCATTGTATAAATGTATCAACATTTTGCATGGTGCCCCATAAGTATGCAAATTTATTATGCATAAGTTAAAATGATTTAAAAAACAAAGGAGTAGTAATCTTTGGTGAAAGGGCGGGGCAGGCTTGAGCTGATAAACAATAGAGGAAATGAGGGAGGACTGTTAATCTATTTTGAGTCTCAGTGATGGAGATTATATCAATATATTTACTTGGAAATATTCATTGAGCTGTATGCTTATGACTTATGTACTTTAAAATATATGTTACACTTCAAATAAAATATTTACTTTAAAATACATATGAAAACTCAATTACATAATTCCTATTAATCTAAAGTAGTAGTATTTGGAGGACTTCATAAAATATGATCAGATTTTAGATATCCACATGAGCATTGTACAATTTTTCATTCATCTTGGAAAAAATAATAATTCCAGATGGATTTCTCTGCAGGCCATTTTTCTTTGCTTCTGCATTGTTTTGATGTTTGCGTTTGAATTTCATGATTAACAAAAACAGAAAATAATTTGGAAGGCATAGATCGCATTTTCAGAAAACACTCAAGTAATATATGCCAACACAAGCATAAATGAACTTCAGAGTATTACCTTCTCAGGATTTTCTGTGCTTCCCTCCCAGGTTTAGCCTAGGAAATCAAAAGTAGACTATCTTCTAGCTTATCATGCCTTTGAGAAACTTCCAAAGGCTTGAATGGAGAGGAATTGAATATACATTTGATCTACTCTAGGGGTGCAAACTCAGATGCCTGCAGGGACCAGCTGGAAACAGAAATGAGGTAATTCAGCTGGGGAAAATGGCAGAAAATCACTAAATATAAAATAAATTGAACTGGTGCAAGCATGATGATGAATGACATCTGACACCAAGAATTGATGGGAGCCATGGTCAAATAAAAAGCACATATCCTGTCCAAAGGCATGGCTACTCAGCTCCATGCAGGCATATAGGCATAATGTGTTCAGCTGCTTTTATTGTAAAGAGAAATTTGGAACTCAGAATTTGGTGTTTAAACTTCTTGATGTTTACATATTGATAATTAATTCAAAAGTTTGAAAAAATGCTGGGTAGTAAAACCAAACTAAACAGACCCATCTGAGATAGCCAGCCTATTTTCATCCTCTGCTCTACAGAGAAATGTTTCCAAATCCCAGCCCTTGTAGTATCTGTACTTATAAACATTAGTTGACTTTTTTTATGTTGTGAATATGAATTGTACAATAATAAAGTTTTCCACTTTGCTCTGATTGCTAGAATCCGAAGTTTGAATTTATGGTTTTCCTTTAGAAAATGTTGAAACTTAACATAAATATGTTTGTTTCTGTGCACGCGCGTGTGTGTGTGCGTGTGTATGTTTGTCAATGTGTATTCAATTTGTTAAATTAACCCTGGTTTCATAGAATAACTGTGTTTATTTGGCCTTTATTCTAATTTTCACATATTTGGCTTTATTTGGTGGTATTTTATGCCATTACATATTATGAAGCTGCTTCAAATATTTTTGGAATAGGGCTTGGTTATATGAATCAATCAAATGACTCAAGACATTATGATATAAGACAAAACCTTCTTAAGGACACAACAGATATTCTAGGCTAATATTACATGAGAGTAATATATCTGGAAAAGGTTGATACAGAAAGAAAAATCTAAGGTATGGCTAGAAAAAGAAAAGTCATACAATCTTATATATACTTCAATAAAAATGTGCTCAGAGATGTCAGTATTTAACTTTATAAGGGTGACTGTCTCAAGTACAATATTCCTATGGAAATGCCCACACAGGCTATGAGAGACTAATAATAAAATATTCAAATCAGATATCCATATTCCATAACCAGCATACCCAAAAGTAAACATTATAGTG
Organism: Homo sapiens; assembly: GCF_000001405.40. Classification (NCBI taxonomy): domain Eukaryota; kingdom Metazoa; phylum Chordata; class Mammalia; order Primates; family Hominidae; genus Homo; species Homo sapiens. The sequence continues at coordinate 116,892,287 of NC_000002.12, read as the reverse complement.
TACAGAGTGGTCCCAGGGGGAAGATGTCACTGGACAGAACATCTACTCAAGTCCAATTATATGTGCACATTTTATTATCATCTGTGTGATGAAACTGAACCACTCCAATTCTGAGGTGGTGAGAAGCTCATGCCTCTGGCCTTTCAAGGCTCAGAGCTGGACTCCTGTAAATTTGCCAAGGTAGTGTCTCTTTGAAAGACAAGCAGCCATCTCTCTTGTTTTTTGAAAGTTTTACTTTGAGTGCTTACTGCAAGCATACATACATACATACCAGTTTATTAAAGGAAATAAACCAGAAAACTACCATGTAATAGAGGCACGATGAATCACAATCTATAGGCACAAAATTTTCTTTAATTTTTGCAATATCAGTGAGATACACACACACACACACACACACACTCACATGTATATAATTTTGCTGAAGAGGGAACTAAAATAAGAAAAAAATAAATGGCCTAAGATCACACAATTTCCATGAGGTGAAGACTGAATTTCAACCCAGATCAGCCTCAGTTGGTAACCTTTACAGTTTTCCTGAACATTCTCCACGTCGTGATTAATAAGGGAAAAAAGTGATTTGTAGAATAGAAGAACAATTTAGGGCCCAGGAAAACTTAGTCATGTTGAATAATTCTTTAATTAAGTGGTAATGTACTTTGTGCAAGACAACTTCTATGGCTAGTTGCTTTAAAATCCAGGCCAGTGATTCTTATTGTGGAAGGCTTCTAAATCATTCTGTAAAAATACATTAGAATAATGTTTATAGAGTACTCAGTAACTTGAGCAGAATCATATAGGCAATTTCACAAGCAGCTAGGCATGCAAAATATTTATCTTTCTTATTTTACTCTCTGAAAGTTATTCTCCTTGCAGATACTCTGGGAAATGCTGACATACAGTAAATTTGACATTTTCAAGGACTGTACCGGTGCTTTGGTGGACAGCTCTGTATAAACTGTTTACTGGGTTTCTAAAGCCTTTGGATATTTTATGACAAAACCTCATAACTTCTATTTATAAAAATATCCTTTGTAAAGGGAATCCATTTATTATAACTTGATTTCTGGTAGGAATAAATTGTCTTACATCCTTTTGCCTCCCATTCCTATTAATAAATGACAGAAGAAACAACAGCAACAATCTGATTCTCCCTGCCTTTTCATTTTCACGGCTGTCTCATCCTACTTTTTATGTCCCATTCTTTCATTGAATGGTATAGTTATTATACTATATAAATTTACAATAAGATCTAACAACAGGAGCTAGATTCTAAAATCAATTATTTTGGTAAAAGTGATAGTCAAAGTCATCCTGTAAAGTCACTGAAATCATGATGTAATTGCTAGGACCTGGGCCTAGCATAAGTAACAAAATCATATAAATATCTAACTATCTCAATAGGTGCAGAAAAAGAATTTGTCAGAATTCAACATCCTTTTATGATTAAAAAAAATAACTTTGAACAAATTAGGTATAGAAGGAATGTACCACAACACGATAAAGGCCATATATGGAAATCCTATAGCTAACATACCCAATGGTGAAAAGTTGCAAGTTTTTTCTCTATAATGAGGAATAAGAAAAGGATGCTCACTCTCATCAATTCTGTTCAGCATAACACTGGAAATACTAGCCATAGAAACTAGACAAGAAAAAGAAATAAAAGTTATCCAAATAGAGAAGGAAGTGAAATTGTCACTGTTTGATGAGATGATCATGTGGAAAACCCTAGAGACTCCACCAAAAAACTGTTAGTATTGATAAATTTAGTAATTTTGCAGGATACAAAATTAACACACAAAAATTAGTGTTGTTTCTTTACACAACAAAAACTATTCAAATAAGAAATCAATGTTATTTATAATAGCACAAAAACACTTAGGAGTAAATTTAACCAAGGAGCTGAAATATCTACATACTGAAATCTATGAAACAATTATGAAAAATAGTTGACATCATAAATAAAGGGAAAATATATTCACGGATTAGAAGAAAAAATATTTAAGATATCCATTCTGCTCAAAGTGAACTACAAATTTCGTGCAATCTTATCCATTCTGCTCAAAGTGAACTACAAATTTCATGCAATCTCTATCAAAATTTTAATGTCATTTTTCACAGAAATAGAAACAAAGCTTAAAATCTGTACGGAAACACAAAAGACCTCAAAGAGCCACAACAACTTTGAGCAAAAACAACAATAAATAAAGCTGGAAGTATCACACTCCCCGATTTTAAAATATAAAGTTATGGTAATCAAAACAGCATGGTACTGGCATAAAAATAGGCACATTGAAAAATGAAACAGGACAAAACATGCAGAAATAAACCCATGTATATATGATCATTGATCTTTCACAAATATACCAGAAAAAAAGTCATTTTCTTCAATAAATGGTGTTGAATAAACAAGATATCCATATGCTGATGGATGAAACTGTATCCTTGTCTTACATCATATTCATAATTTCACTAAAAAAATGGATAAAAAACACAAGCATAAGCCCTGAGATTGTAAAACATCTAGAAAAAAACCTGGGTGAAATGCTCCACAACACTGGTCTGAGCAAAGATTTCTTGAATATGACCCTGAAAACACAGCCAGCAAAACCAAAATTCAATAAATAGGATTCAATCAAACGAAAAACTTTCTATACAGCAAAGAGAACAATTAACAGAGTGAAGGAAATCCTATGGAATGGGAGAAAATATTTTCAAACCACAAATCTGATGTGAGGCCAATATCCAAAATATATGAGAAACTCAACTTGATATCAAGAAAACAAAGAACCCAATTAGAAATGGACAAAGGACCTAAATAGACATTTATTGGCATAAGTCATACAAATGGCTAACAGATCTCATCATCACGAATTATTAGGAAAATGCAAACTGCTACCACAATGAAACATCATCCTACACCTGTTCGAATGGCTATCATCCAAAAGATGAAAGATAACACGTGTTGGCAAGGGTGTGGAGAAAAGGGAAACTTATAAACTGTTAGTGGGGATGTAAATTAATAAAGACATTATGGAAAACAGTATGAAGTCTTCACAGCAACCTAAAAATAGAAGTACCATAAGATTCAGCGGTATATATCCAAAGAGATTGAAATCAGCATGTCAAAGAGATATCTGGACTCCCATGTTTATTGCAGCATTATTCACAACAGCTAACATGTAGAAACAACTTAGGTGTCCATCATTAGATGAATGGATAAAAAATGTGGTATACACATACAATGAAATACTATTCAACCTTAACAAAGAATAAAATCCTGTCATTTGCAACAACATGAATGAACCCAGAGGACATTATGGTAAGTGAAATAAGATAGGCACAGAAAGAAAAATAACATAAAATCTCACTTATATGTGAAATCTAAAAACAGAAGTAGGGAGTAGAATGGTGGCTTGTGGAGGCTAGGGGAGTGAAGTCAATGGGAAAGGGGGAGGTTGATCAAAAACTGTACAATTTCAAATAGACAAGAAGAATAAGCTTTAATGCTCTATTGCACAGAATGGTGGCCATAATAAATAAAAATACATCATATGTTCCAAAATTACCAAAAGAATGGATTTTAAATGTTTACACCACAAAAAATGATGAGTATATGAGTTGATAAATTTGTTAATTAGTTTGATTTAATTATTCCACAATGTAAAGCATATATCAAATATCACATTGTGCCCCACAAATATATAATATATACAATAATATTTTGTGAATTAAAAGTAAAATTTAAAAGATCTAAATAAGAATTTTTGGGAGAACAAAGAGACCTTGAAAAGTCATATATGACTAAATTTACAGTAATCAGGAGTAGAGTCTAACTTTCTATTTATTTCCTCTGCTATCCCTTTTTTTCTCTTCTCTTTTGATCGCTCATGCTAGGAATACAGAAAATCACACAAGATAACACAAATGCAATGTACAGACTCCACTCTAATATGTATTTGCTGATAAATATGCTATAAGTTTCTAGTTCCTGCCTTTGTCAAGTGTTTAGTCTATGTGCCTCATTGTGAAGAAAAAAAGTTTCCCTATCTTAATAGTGCTGTAATGCATATATCATGAAGTGACATATGGATTGTGCAGATAATATGCTTCGGGGAAGTTAAGTGGGGGAAAAATCATTTTTGAGAGTTCTGATTGAGGTTAGTAAACTCAAACAGTGTCAAGAATATACAGAAAATGTCTTGGAACATTAATCTGGGAGAGCTAAAGCAGATTTAAGAGTGGGTAGGAGTTGGACAAGTGAATTTGTAAAGTGGCTAGAAGAGAGGCTGCCATAGAGCACCTCACAGTTGCCTGCAACTCCACATGATCAAGACTTTCCAGCCTGGTTCTCGGGCGTACTTATTTGTTATCTAATTTCTTCAGCTTTGTTGAGGTGTAATAAATTCCATGGATTTAAAATATACATTTTAATGATTATTAACATACATAAATGCCCATAAATCCATCATTGCAATAAAGATAAACATAATACACACACACACACACACACACACACACACACACACACACACACACTGTATTTTGGGGTGTATATATATATAAATATATATTTATATTTATATATTTATATATTTATGTATTTGTTTTTATATACTTATATATATTTATATATGTGTATATATATTTATATATGTGTATATATATTTATATATGTGTATATATATTTATATATGTGTATATATATTTATATATGTGTATATGTGTATATATATTTATATATGTGTATATATATATTTATATATATATATATATATTTATATTTACCCCAAAAGTTTTTCTCATGTACTTTTGCAACCTCCTCCTGGAATACTTTTCCATTCACTCTATTCTCCACCTCCAAGTAACACTGATCTGAAGTGTTTTTGCTACACATTTGTTTTAATTATTTAGTAATTTACATAAATGAATCATATAGCATGTACTTTTTTGACAGGGATCTTCTACCATGTGACACAATTATTTTGAGATTCTTTCATGTATTGTGTGTGTCTTAGTTAATTCCTTTTTATTTCTGAATAGTATTCCATACCACCATGGATATACCAACATATGTTTATCCTTTTGCCTGTTGATGAACATTTCGGTTGTTTCCAGTTTTTAACTATTAAAATTAAAGCAGGTATAAATGTTCATGTATGAGTCTTTGCATAGGCATATATTTTCATTTCTCCTAGGTAAATACCTAGAGATGAAATGGCTGGTTTTAAGGTAGATGTACATTTAAATTTTAAAGAAACGTCCTATTTTTTTAAAGAAATGTACTTTAAGTTCTGGGATACATGTGCAGAATGTGCAGGTTTGTTACATAAGCACACAGGTATTATGGTGGTTTTCTGCAACTATCAACCCATCATCGAGCTTTTAAGCCCCACATGCATTAGGTATTTTTCCTAATGTTCTCCTTCCCCTTGCCCCCCACTCCCTGACAGGCTCCAGTGTGTCTTGTCCCTCTTCTTTTGTCCATGTGTTCTCACTGTTCAACTCCCACTAACGAGTGAGAACATGTGGTGTTTAGTTTTCTGTTCCAGTGTTAGTTTGCTGAGGATGATGGCTTCCAATTTCATCCGTGTCCATGCAAAGGACATGAACTCATTCTTTTTTATGGCTGCATAGTATTCCATGGTATATATGTAGCACATTTTCTTTATCCAGTCTATCATTGATGGGCATTTGGGTTGGTTTCAAGTGTTTGCTATTGTAAATAGTGCTGCAATAAACATACAAGTGTATGTGTCTTTATGGTAGAATGATTTATATTCCTTTGGGTGTATATCCAGTAATGGGATTGCTGGGTCAAATAGTATTTCTGGTTCTAGATCCTTGTGGTACACCCAGTATATACCTAGATCTTTGAGGTAATACCCAGTATTTAAGTCTTTGCTATTGTAAATAGTGCTGCAATGAACATAAATGTGCATGTGTCTTTATAGCAGAATGATTTATATTCCTTTGGGCATATACCCAGTAATGGGATTGCTGAGTCAAACGGTATTTCTGGTTCTGGATCCTTGAGGAATCCTTGAGGAATCGCCACACTGTCTTCCACAGTGGTCGAACTAATTTACACTCCTACCAAGAGTGTAAAAGTGTACCTATCTCTCCACATCCTTGCCAGCATCTCTTGTTCCCTGACTTTTTAATAATCACCATTCTGACTGGCATGAGATGGTATCTCATTGTGGTTTTGATTTGCATTTCTCTAATGACCAATGATGAGCTTTTGTTCATACATTTGTTGGCCACATAAATGTCTTTTTTTGAGAAGTATCTGTTCATATGCTTTGCCCACTTTTTGATGGGGTTGTTTGTGGGGTTTTTTTTTTTGGTATATTTAAGTTCTTTGTAGATTCTAGATATTAGACCTTTATCAAATGGATAGATTACAAAAATTTTCTCCTATTCTGTAGGTTGCCTGCTCACTCTGATGCTAGTTTCTTTTGCTATGCAGAAGCTCTTAGTTTAATTAGATCCCACTTGTCAATTTTGGCTTTTGGTGTTTTAGTCACGAAGTCTTTGCCCATACCTAAGTCCTGAATGGTATTGCCTAGGTTTTCACCTGGGGTTTTTATGGTTTTGAGTTTTACATTTACGTCTTTAATCCATCTTGAGTTAATTTTCATACACAGTATAAGGAAGGGATCCAGTTTCTGTTTTCTGCATATGGCTAGCCAGTTTTCCCAGCACCATTTATTAAATAGGGAATCCTTTCCCCATTGCTTGTTTTTGTCAGGTTTGTCAAAGATCAGATGGTTGTAGATGAGTGGTGTTATTTCTGAGGTCTCTGTTATTTTCCATTGATAATTATATATATCTGTATCTAACTATCGAGATATATATATATATATATATATATACACACACATATATATCTGTTTTGGTGCCTGTACCATGCTGTTTTGGTTACTGTAGCCTTGTAGTACAGCTTGAAGTCAGGATGCTTACAGCTTTGTCCTCCGCTTAGGATTGTCTTTTCTATACAGGCTCTTTTTTGGTTCCATGCATTCCTATATACAAATGACAGACAAGCAGAGAGCCAAATCATTAATGAACTCCCATTCGCAATTGTTACAAAGAGAATAAAATACCTAGAAATTCAACTTGCAAGGGATGTGAAGGAGCTCTTCAAAGAGAACTACAAACCACTGCTCAAGGAAATAAGAGAGGACACAAATATTCCATGCTCATGGATAGGAAGAATCAGTATAATGAAAATGATGATACTTCCCAAAGTAATTTTTAGATTCAGTGGTATTCTCATCAAGCTACCATTGACTTTCTTTGCAGAATTAGAAACGCCATATTTCTAAAGAGGTTGCATTATTTTACATCTACCAGTATTGTTTAAAGGTTCGATTTGCATGGTATTCCAGCTAACCCATGGTGTATTCATTTTATTTAATATTTGCTCTCTATTGTGAGGATGTAGTGATTTTGCATTGTAGTGTTAGCTTGGCCTTCATTTTTTAAAGGTTTTATAAGTTAAAGGAGATAGAGGAAAATGACATAATTCTGGCAGGGAAGAAGTTAAAAAGAGAAGAGAAAAGTAATGTAAACATTCAAATATGTATAGGGATTAGTAGTAGATACACAACTTTAAATGGTTCTATTAGAAAAGAAGTGACAGTTGGGAAGGTAAAAAAAATGTTAAATGAAGTTTTGGCATTATCCCTACAAAATAGAAAGTAACTTATACTGTGTATATGGCATGATTGTTGTGATAGATAGATAGACTATTCACACATTTTCAGGCCTGGTGGCCTAGGAAAATTGGAGAAAGATCAGTTAGGTAGCAATTACAATATTCCAGACAGAATATAATTAGAAGAAGATTGGTTTGATAATTAGAGAAAGAAAACATTTTATTAATGAAGATTTTCAGTGCTTGGTAACAATTATGATTATAAGGAGAAAACAAGGAAGAAGAAACCAGAATGACTTAGTAGATAAGAACTATACACCATTTTAGAAGAAAAATATATTATCTAATTTTAAAATGTTGAGTTTAGGGTAATATTAGTACTTTGATCTATGTCCATGTCCTAGATTTTTTTTTCTGAGCAGATGTTTCATCTTTAAGAAAAATAACATTAATACAATCATGTTAGCTAATAGCAAAATGTGGTTGCCATTTGAACATAATATACAAGGGATATTAATTTATTTAGTGATAAGGAGGGTGTGTTTCACCAGGAAAAAAAGTCTGCAAAATGACCAGATTTATTTGAATACTTTGCCAGATCTTGTTTTGGTGTTTATAAGATTTAGGACAGCGTGTATATTTTATTGATGGCTGTTAGGACAGTTATCCTTGGCTCTTTCACATTTCCACGTGTGGGATTGGAAGCAGAGGTCCTGGCGGCCTTTGTTCTGAAGCATCTCTTCAGGCATGTTTGTATAGCAAACTGACTTTTTGGATACAGAAAGGGTGTCTCTTTCTGGAGCAAAAGGCAGACTGATTTGTTGTCCAGTATGCTATAGGTAATGTCTCTCTCTTGGGAAAAAGTGGGACGAGCTTGCTGGCAGCCTCTTATAAATAATTGGAAATCTAAGTTTAGAGATCCTCAGCTGTGATACAAACTCACTGTATGAACAGAATCTACCTGGCATGCTTCGTGTCATGTGGCACAAAATGGGGTCAGAGGGAAGGGTCATGACCATGACACTCATTCTACTTTCTGTATCATGAGTGATAAAGGCTTTTGT